>NC_000015.10:92956429-93107944 GCF_000001405.40 Homo sapiens
TGGCTCGTTCTGTTTTGTTTTTACTTTAGACTGTGCTGGGCAGTATTAACTGGGCCTTTCTGGGAGTGGATGAAGCCCATCGGTTGAAGAATGATGACTCTTTATTGTATAAAACTCTGATTGATTTCAAGTCCAACCATAGGCTCCTGATTACGGGGACCCCTCTTCAGAATTCCCTCAAAGAGCTCTGGTCCTTGCTGCACTTTATTATGCCGGAGAAGTAAGCTCCTTCCTGTGTATTTCAAAAGATGCTAGAATGTCTGAAATGCCAATGCTTTTTAACTTTCTTAGTAGACCTTAGGGAAAACAGATGGCATGGTTTGGGGAAAGCAAAGCGTCAAATGGAGGCAGGGATGGCGGTAGTAAAATGTTTCATAATCAATGAAAGAAGGCACAGAAATTAGCCTGTTAAGGAGGAAAGCAGTATTGTCTGCTGAAAGGCTGAATTAGTTAATGCACTTGGGAAATAATTGTTAAATAGATAACATCAGACCTTTTCACTGTTGGTATAAGATAATCAATATAAGTAAAATGAAATATACAAGGTACACAAGCACTGAAAAGTATGTTATACTCAAATATCTGATAACCGAAGCATCAATTTTACATCTTATTCACGTATTATTAAAGAACTATGGAATGTGTTTATTGAAAAGATTTTTATGGGAGAGATGATATGCACATTTCATAAAACTTAAAATTATCCAATGGTATTCAGCGATACTTAGAATAACATCTATATTCATTAATTTGGAGGACTCCACTCAGTCTGGCCCCTTGACAATAGTCTGATTCCTCTCATCCACTTTCTCCATTACTCATTATGCTTCAGCCATTCTGGCTATCTTTCTGTCCCTTAAACATGCCAAGCCATTACTATTCCTTCTTGACTAGAATTATATTTCTTCTTGTCTTCACATGGCCAACCACCTTAATGTTTCAGCTCATCTTAAACGACCACCTCCTTTCAGAAATCTTTTGCAGATTGCCTAACCTAAAGTAGCCCTTTAGACATCTTATCCCTAACCTGTTTTAGTGTCTATATAGCATCTCTTTTTACATTTATGTTCTCATTCATCTCATGTCATTAAATTATGTATGAAAATCGCAGGGATTTTGTTTGCTTGATTCATTGCTGGTTCCCATTGTCTAGAATAGCACCTGGTGCACAGTAAACAATTCAGTTAATAGTTGTTCAGTTGATAGATATATGCTCTACAATCTTTTTTTTTTTAATTCAGGATTAAATTTTATTTTTTACTTTTATTTTTATTTTTAAATTTTAAATTTAAATTTGTTTAGTAACTTTATAGTTTGCAACCATCATCATTGTCCAGTTTTGGAACATTTTCCTCATCCCAAAAAGTTCCCCCTTGCTTGTTTGCAGTTAACCTCTGCTTCCACATATAGCCTTAGGCAACCAGTAATCAGCTTTTGTCTCTAGAGATTTACCTTTTCTAGAAGTTTTATATAAGTGGAATCCTAATATGTAGGCTTTTGTTTCCGGCTTCCTTCACTTAGCATATTTTTTTTGAGATTCATTCATGTCAGAGTCTGTCAGTAGGTGTTCTCTTTCATTGGGTAATATTTCATTGCATCCAGTTACCGGTTGATGGACATTTGGATTGCTTTGTTTTGGGGTTATTATATCTTTGTGTGGACATATGTTTTTCTTTCTCTTGCTTAGAGACTTAGGAATAGAATTGCTGGATTGTTTGGAAAGTTTATGTTTAACATTTTAGAAACTACCACGCTGTTTTCTAAAGTGACTACCATTGTGCAGTCCTACCAAAAATGTTTGAAGGTTCTAGTTTCCCTGCGTCATCACCAGGACTTGGTGCATTGTCAGTCTTTTTGATTCTAGCCGTTCTGGCGAATGTGTGTCATTGTGGTTTTGACTTGCATTTCCCTAATGACTAATGATGTTGAACGTCTTTTCATGTGTTCATTAGCCATTTGTATGTCTTTGGTGAAATTTCTATTCAAATGTTTTGGCATTTTAACTCAGGCGTCGTGTTCCGTCATTGGAACTCTAAGCATGTGGGAATTATTTATATCCTACTGCTCAAGGTCATTGCCAAGGTCTGATTGCAAAAAATTCAAAAAATTGCAACCTCTATCATAAATGGGTTAAAAAAATTGGATTGTTTGTCTTATTATGAGTTGAAGAGGTTTTTTATTTCTTTTAAAAAAATTCTAAAGACAAGTGCTTTATCAGTACAGTCCCCAACTTTCTATAGTTTGATGTAAAATGTTTTGACTTTTCAGTGGTATGAAAGCAATACACTTTCAGTAGAAAGTATACTTTGAATGAACACAACCATTCTGTTTTTCATTTTCAGTGTAATATTCGATAAATTACATGAGATATTCAACTCTTTATTATAAAGTTGGCTTTGCGTTAGGTGATTTTGCTCAATATCCTCATGATAAGCGTTCTGAGCACATTCAGGGTAGGCTACGGTGTGATGTTCTGTAGGTTAAGTGCATTAAATGCATTTTTGATTTAACAATGTTTTAAACTTACGATGGGTTTCTCAGGACATAACCCTGTTGTAAGTTGAGGAGCATCTGTATATAATTTGAACATATTTTATCCCAATCTGTGGCTTCTTTTCACTTTTTGAATGTTGTCTTTCAAAGAGAAAAAGTTATTGATTTTGATGAAGTTTAATTTATGGATTTCTTTGTATGGATTGTGCTTTAGATATCATATCTGACACAGATTTGCCTAACCTATGGACACGAAGACTTGCTTCTTTATTTCCTTCTAGAAGTTCTAGCTTTTGTATTAAGTCAGAGTTACATTTTGTTTATAGTGTGAAGTGTGAGTGCCTTAGTTCATGTTTTTGTAGTAGAATTTGGGAAATTGTTCTAGTATCACTTGTTGAAAAGAATATCTGTTCTTCATTGAATTGCCTTGACACTGTTGTTGAAACTCAGTTGACACCATAAATGTCATGCTTTGTTTCTGGACTGTCAGTTCTGTTTTATTAATACATATTTCTGTCCTTCTGCCAATGTCACACTGTCTTGATTAATGTAGCTTTCGACTGTTTTTTTATTTTTTATTTTTTTTGAGATGGAGCCTTGCTCTGTCACCCAGGCTGGAAGGGAAGTGGCGCAATCTCAGCTCACTGCAACGTCTGCCTCCCGGGCTCAAGTGATTCTCCTGCCTCAGCCTCCCAAGTAGCTGGGATTACAGGCACGCACCACCATGCTCAACTAATTTTTTGTATTTTAGTAGAAATGGGGTTTTGCCATGTTGGCCAGGCTGGTCTCGAACTCCTGACCTCAAGTGATCCACCGTCCTTGGCCTCCCAAAGTACTGGTATTATAGGCGTGAGCCACTGCACCCGGCCTAGACTGCTTTTTAAAAATGGAGAAGTACAAGTTCCATTTTCTTCTTTTTCAAAATTGTTTTGGTTATTCTAGAATTCTTGATACTTCCATGTACATTTTAGGATCAGGTTGTTAATTTCTGCAAGAAAAATATGGAATTTTGATAGAAATTGTGTTGAATCATATATCAGTTAAAGCAAAATTATTAATATTGAGTCTTCTAATCCATAATCATGGAAAGTTTTTCTCCATTTATTTAGATCTTCTATAATTTTTCTCAGTGTTTAGTGGTTTTTAGTTTAGAAATCTTATACATTCAAAATATTCTTTTAATTCTGACTATATTTGGAGTGGAATTTTTAAAAATATAACCTATTATAGAACTACAATTGGGTTTTGTATATTGATCTTACATCCTGCAAACTTGATAAACTTACTGTTTTCTACTGTGTGTGTATGTGTGTGTATATTGTTCTGTATTTCTTAGTATTTTTCTATAGACAGGATTATGTTTTCTGTACCTAAAGATTTCTTTTCCAAAATGGATGCTTTTTATTTCTTCTTCTTGCCTTATTGTATTGGCAGGAACCTCCATCTTAAATAGAAATGGTGGGAGCAGGATGTTGGCTATAGATGTTTTTTGTAGATAACCTTTATTGGGTTGAGGAGGTTTTCTTTTCTTCCTAGTTTGTGAGGTTTTAATAAAGAATGGATATTAGGTTTTGTCAAATGCTTATTTTCTGTGTCTGTTGAGATGACCATGTGGTTTTGTCCTTTAACAATATAGTATATTACATTAATTGCTTTTTAGACATTAGGCCAACTTTTTTTTTCCTAGCATAAATCTGACTTGTTAACAGTGTTTGATACTTTCTATGCATTGCTAGATTCAGTTGGCTAATATTTTGTTAAAGATTTTTGCATCTGTTTGGTGTTTTTTTTTTTTTTTTTTTTTTTTTTTAAGACAGAGTTTCCGTCTGTTGCCCAGGCTAGAGTACAATGGCACCATCTCGGCTCACTGCAACCTCCACCTCCCAGGTTCAAGCATTTCTCATGCCTCAGCCTTCCAGGTAGCTGGGATTACAAGCATGCACCACCATGCCCGGCTAATTTTTGTATTTTTCGTAGAGACAGTGGGGTTTTGCCATGTCAGCCAGGTTGGTCTCGAACTCCTGGCCGTAAGTGATCTGCATCTGCCTGTCTCCGCCGCCTAAAGTGCTGGGATTACAGGCGTGAGCCACTGTGCCTGGCCGCATTTGTGTTTTTTATTTTAATTAGGATTTTAGTCTATAGCTTTTTGTTTTGTTTTGATGTTTACGTTGCTTTGGTTTTGGGATCATAAAATGAATTGGAGAGCGTTTCCCTTCTGTTTTCTGAAGGAGTTTGTGTAAGTTTAGTGTTATTTCTTCTTTAAATATTTACTAGAATTCACCAGTGTAGCCATGTCAACCTTCACTTTGTGGGAAAATTTTTAATGACTAACCTGGTTTCCAGTTACAGGTTCACTTAAGTTTTCTATTCTTCTTGACTTAGTTTTGTTAATTTGTGTCTTTCTAAGAGTTAGTCTGTTTCATCTAACTTGTCCTAATTTGTTGGCATAAAGTTATAGTACTCTCTTAGCCTTTTAATTTTAGTTTTCTTTTTTAAGAGACATGGTCTTTCTCTGTCACCCACGCTGAGTGCAGTGGTACGATCATAGTTCACTGTAACCTCGAACTCCTGGGCTCAAGGGATCCTCCCACTTCTGTCTCTTGAGTAGCTGGGGCTGCAGATGTGCACCACAATGCCCAGCTAATTTTTAAAATTTATTTTTTGTTATTTGTAGAGATGGGTTCTTGCTGAGTTGTCCAGGTTGGTCTCGAACTTCTGGGCTCAAGTGATCCTCCCGCCTCTGTTTCCTAAAATGCTGAGATAATAGGCATGAACCACTGTGCCTGGTAGATTCTTTTAAGGATCAATAGTGATTAAAGTTAATTTTCTTGATTATGGTAATTTGTATCTTAGCTCTTTTTCTTGGTCAGTTCTAGCTAAGGGCTTAACAATTTTGATGCTCTCAAAGAAGCAACTTTTGACATCATTGGTTTCTTCCTCTGTTTTTTCTTCTCTTTTTTTTTTTTTTTTTTTTTTTGAGACTGAGTTTTGCATTTGTTGCCCAGGCTGGAGTGCAGGGTGCGATCTCGGCTCACTGCAACCTCCGCCTTCCAGTTTCAAGTGATTATCCTGCCTCAGCCTCTTGAGTAGCTGGGATTACAGGCACCTGCCACCACGCTTGGCTAATTTTTGTATTTTTAGTAGAGACGAGGTTTCACCAAGTTGGCCAGGCTGGTCTTGAACTCCTGACCTTGTGATTTGCCTGCCTTGGCCTGCCAAAGTGCTGGGATTGCAGGCGTGAGCCCCCGTGCCCGGACCCTCTGTTTTTCTGTTTATTTCCACTCTCAAAGGTTGCCGTCCTTTGCTTGCTTTTCATTTAATTTTCTCTTTTTCTCTTAAGATACAGTTTAGATTACTGATGTAAAACTTTTTTCTTTTCTAGTTGTTTAAAGGTATGTTTACTTCTATGCACTGCTTTAGCTGCATCCTGTAAATACTGATAATTTTGTGTTTTTGTTTTCATTTGATTTCATCTATTTTCTAAATTCTCTGTGATTTATTCTTTGAAGCATGGGTTTTTCAGAAGGATGGTGTTTAATATCCATATATTTAGGGATTTTCCAAATGTCTTATAATTCGGTTTTGTCTTAGAGAACATGCTTTAAATGAATTTATTATGACTTATTAAATAGTCTTAGTATGCTTTCTTTCCTGGAGACTGTCCGATAAGTGCTTGTAAAGAATAATCTGTATTCTGCCTTTGTTTGAGTAGTGTTTTGTAAATGTCCGTTCAGTGTGGTGTTAATGGTGTTGTTCAAGACTTTTATATCTTTTCTAACTGCCAGTTTAGTTGTGCTTTGAATTATTGAGAATGAAATATTTTAATTTTTAACTGTAGTTGAGTTTTTGTCTTCTAGTCATTTTTTGCTTCATTATTTTGGGGTTGTTCTGTTAGGTATGTATCCATTCATAACTTTTGTATGTTCCTGAGGTATTGACCTTTTTCTGGTCAATATCAGAATGTCCCATTTGACCTCTAATGATATTTATTGTTTTGTAAATCCATTTTGTGTGATTTTATTATAGCTCCTCAGCTCTCTTCTGATTCCTGTTTGCATGATATATTGTTTTCCATCATTCGAACTGGTTACCATTTGCATGGTATACTGTTTTCCATCATTTTACTTTCAACTTACTTCTTTCTGTAAGTCTAAAATGTGTCTTATAGACAACCTGTACTTGGATGTACCTTTTTTATCCAGGCAAATAATCCTTGCCTTTTGATTGGAATATTTAGTTCATTTACATTTAACAGAATTAATAATATGGTTGGATTTATTTCTGCTATTTTACTATTTGTTTTCCATATGTCTTACATCTTTTTTGTTCCACTTTCTCCTTTATTGCCCTCTTCTGTTTCAGCAAGTATTTTTCAGTGTGTCATTTTAATTCCTGTTAATTTTTTGCTATTAAAAAAATTGTAATTGGTTGCTGTAGGGATTGTATGCATCAGTCTTCTTCAGGTTAGTACTGACTCAGTTCTGGTAAAATAGGGCAACTTTGCCCCGCTGTAGCTCCATTTTCACTTCCTTATGTTATAAATCCAAGAATACAAGGAAATAATTATTGCTTTCCACAGGTTTGTCTTTTAAGGACATATAGAAAAGAGAAAAAAAATATATACTATCTTTCATATTTATCCATATATTTGATCATTTTCAGTGATCTTCATTTCTTCCTGTGTATTCAGGTCGCTGTTGGGTATTGCTTTCTTTTAGTCTGAAGGGCTTCCTTTATTTACATATTGCAAATAAGAATATGCTGGCTTAGATGATTAAAAGATGTCCCGTATGACACAGTCAATAAGTAGATAGACGAAGATCAATAGCAAATCTTCTGTGACCAAGGCCAGTGTCCTTTGAACTTCAAGTTCTAGGAGAAAAAAATACATCCTTCATAAAACCATTGAGACGAAGTAAGGTCACCCTACGTAGTAAGAGTTATGAGACACAGTGGGAACATCTGTGCTTGTTTTTATAGAAAAAGAATTGTGGTATGTAGTTTCTACCAGTGAATACTTAGCCATGATTTGCTTTTGTGTACCTACCTGCTGAAGTGGATGGTAGGGATTTTGCTCCTAAGTGGTCATAATTAGCTTTTTCCTGCCATTAAGTAGCTGTGGCATTCCACTCAGCATGGGCTATGTTTGGAAAAATGTCATATATCCTTCTTTTGTAATTGGAGAGAGGAACTTTCAATTACTTTATCATTCAGGGAGTCTCTTCCAAAATTTTCCTTTGGCCAGTTGAATCAATTATGGAATGATAGGTTAGAGTTAGAGATGCAAGTTTTTTTCTGTGAAAGAGATCTTTTTTTCTTTGAAAATTTTGTGTTTAAAGCATTGTCATTTTCAAATAAAGTTTCAAAATTGTTGTTCACAAAGATATGTATATGAAAAGGAAACCAATTAGTTAAGGAGTTCAGATTTGCCCTTATTTCTGCCTGAGCTTGCTGGATGGGTAACTATAGTCTTGTGAAGTATTTTGCCTCATCCTCAGCAGAAGTTCCTGAGGTACCTTAGGACTCTACAGAGCTTTTGAAGAAAGGATCCACTGAAGAAAAACTATTGTAAAGGAGAGAATTAGGTTTAGTCAAATAGCTTTGGAACTTCCCCACTCAAATGTTACAGGCTATTGTTTCAAAATCCAAAAGTTAGTCCTCTTTTTAACCAACTGAAATTCTGTTTCCTTAGTATAGAGTCTAAGTGCCTTTCCTGCAGGGTGGCTCTGACAGGGAGTACACATGACTAACCATATTGGGAATACTTATCAATCAATAGCTTCATTTTGTACATACTGTTTGCAAAGCATGGAACTTGGTATTAAGGGTAGAAAAAGATATGACAAGATTGAAAAATTCGGCTTATAAAGACCATCATGTGCAAATATATACTTCAGACTTACCGCAGAAAACAAGTCAGTTTGATAGCATGTATTTCAGAGATTACATCTTTTAGTGTTGGGATGATTTTTTAAATTTTTACTTCTGTCGTCTAGGCCAATCTCTTAATTTTTTTTGCACTTTTCCTTTTACATATTTACTGTGTGACTTTTAGCATACCATTTTCACTGCTTTGGTTTAATTTCCGTTGTTGGTCCTTATTAAAGTAACCTATTTTTCTAAAATTCCGTGTTCTGCAAAGCTATAAAGATCAGAATTTTTTCTAGTTCTGTGAGAGACAAATATTAAATACAGAAGTTGATAGCAGGGATTTATCTAAAATATGAATCTTTAGATGTAACATGGTGTCTTTATACATCACCACTATGACCTTATACCTTTTCTATATCTAATATTATAAATTAATAATTGTTTTCAGGGCAGCAGACTTTTTCTAAAGAATCTGATAGTATGCCGGGCGTGGTGGCTCACGCCTGTAATCCCAGCACTTTGGGAGGCTGAGGTGGGCAGATCACGAGGTCAGGAGATCGAGACCATCCTGGCTAACACGGTGAAACCCTGTCTCTACTAAAAATACAAAAAATTAGCCGGGTGTGATGGTGGGCGCCTGTAGTTCCAGCTGCTCAGGAGGCTGATGCAGGAGAATGGCGTCAACCCAGGAGCCCAGGAGGCAGAGCTTGCAGTGAGCCGAGATCGCACCACTGCACTCCAGCCTGGGCGACAGAGCCGAGACTCTTTCTCCAAAAAAAAAAAAAAAAAAAAAAAAAAAAAACCAACTCAGAATCTGATGGTAAATATTTTTGGTTCATAGCCCACACAGTCATTGTTAGCCACTCATCTCTGCTGTTTAGAGGAAAAGCAGCCATAGAGAATTCATAAACAAATAAATGATACTTATATCTCCTCAGTGTGTGTAGATCAAGAACTAGTGTCTCATATTAACTCCCTTAATATAATAAGAGTACAGTAGGCAGGTGAAAATATTTGTTGCTTAAAACATAGAGGAAGTAAATCTTGGAAATAAACTTTACATTTAATTTTTTAGATTAGTAAAGTTTTAATTTATTATAACATGTGTTAGGTAAATTAGCTTATTGAAATTGTCTCTCAGGTATTCAGAAAATAGCCTGATACAGTGATATTTCTACTTCTACTGATTTCCGGTCACTTCACACATTTAGTGTGTGAGGTATCATCTCCAGCATTGAGATAGTTCAGTTTTCTTTCTTTCTTTTTTCTTTTCTTTTTTTTTTTTTTTTTGAGACAGAGTCTCACTGTCACCCAGGCTGGAGTGCAATGGCATGATCTTGGCTCACTGCAACCTTCATCTCCTGGGTTCCAGTGATTCTCCTGCCTCAGCCTCCTGAGTAGCTGGGATTATAGGCACTTGCCACCATGCCCAGCTAATTTTTGTATTTTTAGTAGAGATGGGGTTTCACCATGTTGGCCAGGCTGGTCTCGAACTCCTGACCTCAGGTGATCCGCCCGCCTCAGCCTCCCAAAGTGCTGGGATTACAGGTGTGAGCTACTTCGCCCAGCCAGAGATAGTTCAATTTTCATTGTGCATTTGAATTATTAGTTTTAATTCCTCACCTATTTTATGTTCTTGGAGTATTTGCTTAATAGCATAGCAGTGTGAGAAAATACAGTTTACCTTAGGTTTATCAGGCTGTAGGCTTTAATGACGACTTTAGATGTCTACCCCAAAAGATCATATAATCTGCTTCCCTGTAGATTGTTTCAGGCCATACCGGGTGTTACTAAGGCTGATGTTGATTCACTTAACAATACCTGATAAAATGTATGGCTGGATATGGTGGCTCAAACTTGTAATTCCAGCACTTTGGGAGGCCGAGGCAGGCGGATCACTTGAGGTCAGGAGTTTGAGACCAGCCTGGCCAACATGATGAAACCCTGTCTCTACTAAAAATACAAAAATTAGTTGGGTGTGGTGGTGGCACCTGTAATCCCAGCTACTTGGGAGGCTGAGGCAGGAGAATCACTTGAGCCTGGGAGGTGGAGGTTGCAGTGAGCTGAGATTGTGCCACTGCATTCCAGCCTGGGCGACGGAGCGAGACTCTGTCTCAAAAAAAAAAAAAAAGGAATGACTATTTATGAGTTCAGAAATGACGGTGACTTTCTTGAGGCTGTTGTATCCATTGGCAGTACTGGCACCAGCTATATCTGACGTTCCATCTTACCAGAGGGCATGTGCTTTGAGTAGTTACTGAGTAGTTCTAGATGATGTTGGTTACATGATAGACTGAAGTATTTTATTAACTCTGAATTCAGTCTGAGAATTGGAAACGTGCTATTATCCAGTGTAGACTGATGGAGTTGATTTCATTTTACTTTTCCCCTTTTTGTTTTCCCTTCTATTTAAGAGCTCTAGTGATTGATAATGTCTTTCCTTATGGGAAAGATTCATTTTTTTACAGTTTTTTTTCCTATTCTTCTTTTCCTCAATGTGGCTAAATAACACTATACTGTTTCTTCCCTAGGTTTGAATTTTGGGAAGATTTTGAAGAAGACCATGGGAAGGGGAGAGAAAATGGCTACCAGAGTCTTCATAAGGTGCTAGAGCCTTTCCTTCTCCGGAGAGTCAAAAAAGATGTGGAGAAATCCCTTCCTGCTAAAGTGGAACAGATTCTCAGGGTGGAGATGTCAGCCCTTCAGAAACAGTATTACAAGTAAGTTCTTGTTTGGGTTAGGCCTGAAGGGGTTGAGATCAGTACCATGAAACTATTAGATAGGAGATATATATATATACTTTTGTTTTTTTTTTTTTTGGAGACAGAGTCTCGCGATTCTGCTGCCTCAGCCTACCGAGTAGCTGGGATTACAGGGATGCGCCACCACGCCCAGCTAATTTTTTTTGTATTTTTAGTAGAGATGGGATTTTTCCATGTTGGTCAGGCTGGTCTTGAACTCCCGACCTCAGGTGATCCGCCCACCTCGGCCTCCCAACGTTTTGTTGTTATTAAGCAAAATTTCAATACTGTTGTTATGTCTAAAAAATTTTAATAATTCCTTAACAGTTTCGTAATATCTAGTGTTTACATTTTCCTGGTTGTCATATACATGTATGTATATCTCCGTTTGTGCATGTGCCATTTTGCTTGTTTTGGGATCGATGTAAGCTCCGTGCATTTTGCTTGTTTTGGGATCGATGTAAGCTCCGTGCATTTTGCTTATTTTGGGATCAACGTAAGCTCCATGCATTTTGCTTGTTTGGGGATCGATATAAGCTCCATGCATTTTGATTGGTTGGTATGTCTCTTAAGTATATTTTAATCAATTTATTTTTCTTTGCCTTATAAATTTTTTGAGTCAGGAAACTGAATTTATGTTTTGTAGACTTTTCTCACAGTCTGGATTTTGCTGATTCTAGCTCCATGGCATTCTTTAATATTTTCAGCCAGGTGTGGTGGCTCACGCCTATAATCCCAGCACTTTGGGAGGCTGAGGCAGGAGGATCGCTTGAGCCCAGTAGTTTGAGACCAGCCTGGGCAACACAGTGAGACTCCATCTCTATAAAAATAAAAAAATTTTTAAAAACCACTTTTCCTCTGAACTGTGTTTTCTGTATACTCATAAGTAAGTGTAAAGGCTTGATTAGACTCAGATTCAGTGTGACTTTAGAGGCAGAGGAATATTGTTTCACAGGATAAATGTCCTTTTTTGTGATGTTAGTGACTAACGATGAGCATTGCCTAGATCTGTTAATTCATTAGAGAGTACAAAAGGGTGATATTCAAATTTTATCACTCACTTGTTTATTAGGTGGAATACTTTTATAAAAAGAAACTTTCCCATGTCAGCTGAGGAACAGTTCATGTAGGAAAGGCAGAATAAGATTCTTTTTTACTTTTGCCATTTTCAAAGGAAAAGATCTACTTTTCTTCAAAGGTTTTGACCAATGAGATTTACTTTGATATGATTATGAACTCATCAATTACACCTATTTATGTTTAATTCTGTTGGAGTTAATATCCATATTCATGCTCTAACAGTCCCATTTTTAGCTAGTGGGAACTCATTCAAGTTGGTTGTTGTAGTCCTTTTGACATAACCGTAATAGTAGTTGATAGTTTCTTTGCTATCTGGAATGATTAAGTGTTCCACATCCATCTTGTACATTTCCTGCCCCAGAACTAGAGTCAGCCATTTATCCAAGAAGTTCTGCATACTCCTTTACTAGGAAATGATATTTGTTTGTTTCTGTTTTTCCTCTGAAAATAGTTTAATACTGTAAAATGTAAAAGGGGAAATAGTGTTACCTTAGTAACAACATGAATGTGTCAGTTGGTCAGTGCTATTTTGGGTGTTGATTGATCATATGATTTTTCTGGCAACTCTAGATACTTCCAGTTTACTTAAGTTGATTTAGTTGAGTTTTTATCACTTGCAATTTAAGAGTCCTGGCTAATATTCTGTTGCCTTCAGGCTGCACAACATGCAGGATTGGGGAAAGCACTAGAGAGCCAAAGAAAGTGAGCAGAGTTACTTCAGGGCCACCAGCGTTCCCCGCAATCCCTGTCCTCAGGCATAGGCCCTTCTGCTCTTCCCACTGTAGAGCAGCACCCATCCCCACCAAACCTCACTTCTGGGTGTGACTTCATAGGCTGTCGTGTTCTGCAGTACCCTCGAGTCCGAGGCTGTTGAGTCTGAAGGATCCTCAGAAGACTGGCCTCTTTCTGATGGTTTATGGACTATGGCAAAGATGAGGAAATGGTATTTGGAGACCACATACTGGGCCCTAGGGGTGCTCTTTGCAACTGCAACAAACATGGACAGAATTGGGAAATTTGTTTTTAATGGTAAAAATACATGATGAACAGTACCACAGAGATTTTATTTGATCTTACTGATCTTATGCCATACTAAAAATCTCACTTCCCAACCACACCAAGCTAATTCATTCTATACATACAACAAAGCTAATACTACCACCAACAATAAGAATAGTAAAAACAGGTTAAGATTTTCTTTTTTTTTTTTTTTTTGAGACGGAGTCTCACTCTGTTACCCAGGCTGGAGTGTAGTGGCACGATCTCAGCTTACTGCAACAGGATTTTCTTTTTACAGGTTTTGTTTTTACTTTTTTTTTTGCTTTTTAAGGTTATATACCACAAGAAGTGGAAAAGAGTTTTAAAGTACTCAAGATAGTTTTTCTTCTGTGTCTTTAGGCAACTAATGGTTACATAGATTTATTTATTTCATTTTAGTTTTGATTTTTAGGGATTGCTTTAATTTTGTTTTTAAATTATAGTATTTGTAGATTTCCAAAGGCAAAGCTACAAAGCCTGGTATGTTCAAAGAAATGTAGCTTCAGTCCCTCTTCCCTCCATTCTAGTCCATCTTTCCCCATAGGTAATTATTATTATTATTTTTTGAGATGGAGTTTCGCTCTTGTTGCCCAGGCTGGAGTGTGATTGTGTGATCTCAGCTCACCTCAACCTCCGCCTCCCAGGTTCAAGTGATTCTCCTGCCTCAGCCTCCCGACTAGCTGGGATTACAGGCATGCACCAGTACGCCCAGCTAATTTTGTAGTTTTAGTAGAGATGGAGTTTCATCATGTTGGTCAGGCTGGTCTCGAACTCCCAACCTCAGGTGATCTGCCCCCTTCGGCCTCCCAAAGTGCTGGGATTAACAGGTGTGAGCCACCGCACCTGGCCCATAATTATTATTATTTTTTAACATTTTAATGCTTATCCTTCCTTTAACTTTTAATTATTAAATAAAAGCAAATGCATTTTAACTTTGAATATCCTCCTTTCTCTTAGGTAAGTGGTAGCATACCGTATACACTTTTCTCTGCCTTCCTTTTTTCCTTAATGATACATGGCTGAAGAGCACCCCATAGTAGCTTATAGAGATAGGCCTTTATGATGCATAGTGTTCCATTGAGGTTATATAGTATGGTTTATTCAACCAGTTTCCTTGTGGTAGGCACTTAGATTGTTTTACCTACTTTTATAAATAGTTCTGGAGTGAAGACCTTGAGATAGATTCCTAAAGTGTGATTTCTAAGAGAAGCATGAAGAAATTGCGCCACTCAGGAAAAAATGTACTTTTACTATTTTGGAGTTTGTGGTTAAGGAATATACATGGGTATACATGAATATATCTGTATTTCTCCTCCAAATTTGGGTAGAAAACATACTGATAAGTTATTTTGTCAGATAAAATACTCTTTTACAATGTTAAAATGGGTATGTAGCCTCTATTTTATGGTATATTTACATTTATTTAACCTCATAATGTTAGCTTATTTCCAATTTTTATATTTCAGTGAAGAGTGTTTCAGTGACAGTCATTTTCCATTCACACATGCACACACAGGTTGAGTCTCTTATCAAAAATGCTTGGGGACCAGAAGTATTTCAGATTTTGGGATATTTGCTTTATACTTACTAGTTAAGCATTCCAAATCTGGAAATCAGAACTGTAAAATGCTCTAATGAGAATTTCCTTTGAGCGTCATACTGGCACTCAGAAAGTTTTGAGTGCCATTTTGGAACATTTTAGATTTTCACATTTAGGATTCTCAGCCTTTGTGTACACACACACACTTAAATATGTATAAAGTACATGTGTGTAAATATGTAAAATGTATGTATGTATGTGTGTGTGTGTATATATGTAAAGCATATGTGTGTGTTGTGTATATGTAGAGAGAGTTGTTTTCTTCTAGTATTCCTGTGTTCAGTGAGGTTGAAATATCCAGCAGAATCTTTAACATTCCTAATTCTGACTGGAGATGTGAAAGATGTATGATTAGATGGCAGGAGATACAAAAGAAAATATTCTTTGCTTCTTAAACTTTTTTAGGCCTCTTTTTTTCTCCACAATACTACTACTATCTCTTATACTCTTCTGGTACCTACAACTTTCTGTTTTTTTGTATCTAGTAGTATCATTATCATTTTAATTTGCAGGTGGATTCTGACCAGGAATTACAAGGCTCTTGCCAAAGGAACAAGAGGCAGCACATCTGGTTTTCTTAATATTGTGATGGAACTGAAAAAATGTTGCAACCACTGCTATCTGATTAAACCCCCTGAAGAAAATGAAAGGGAAAATGGACAGGAGATTCTTCTGGTAGGTAGTTCCTCATAATTACTTTCTCAAAAAAAACGCTTAGTTTCTCTAGGTGCTTTTCATCAGAATGCTCTATTTCCTTGTTGGTGACCTATCAAGGATCATCAAAGGAAGCTTTAAAAATGGGAGAGAAAAGGTAACTAAGAATGATTTGGAAAGTAAAGTATAGTATCAACAGATACTGGGAAAAAGAACATTTCGGGAATTGCTGGTCAAGCAGGTTGCTAAGGGCTTCAGAAAGCTTTAAGATGATTTTTAAAATATGGATTTGTAGAGATTAGGGAAGATTAAAATTTGTGTTTCAACATAATTATTGGAATGTCTTTTAAATCTTCAGTCCCTCATAAGGAGCAGTGGGAAGTTGATTTTATTAGACAAACTGTTGACAAGACTTCGAGAAAGGGGGAATCGAGTGCTTATCTTCTCTCAGATGGTGAGAATGTTGGATATCCTGGCTGAATACCTAACTATTAAACACTATCCTTTCCAGGTAAGGTGATTTCAGTAATTGCTGTGGGGGGAATCAATCTCTCTCTCCGCCTCCCCTCCCCAACCTTCCTACACTGGGTTGTATGCTTTGCTTGTTAAAGTAGGAAGTAAGAGT
This sequence comes from Homo sapiens, assembly GCF_000001405.40. Classification (NCBI taxonomy): domain Eukaryota; kingdom Metazoa; phylum Chordata; class Mammalia; order Primates; family Hominidae; genus Homo; species Homo sapiens. Next base: position 92,972,532 of record NC_000015.10, read on the forward strand.
TTTCTTGTTTCAAAGAAGTTAAGGTTAAGATTCCAGGGGGCCGGGCGCGGTGGCTCACGCCTGTAATCCCAGCACTTTGGGAGGCCGAGGCGGGCGGATCACGAGGTCAGGAGATCAAGACCATCCCGGCTAAAACGGTGAAACCCCGTCTCTACTAAAAATACAAAAAATTAGCCGGGCGTAGTGGCGGGCGCCTGTAGTCCCAGCTACTTGGGAGGCTGAGGCAGGAGAATGGCGTGAACCCGGGAGGCGGAGCTTGCAGTGAGCCGAGATCCCGCCACTGCACTCCAGCCTGGGCGACAGAGCGAGACTCCGTCTCAAAAAAAAAAAAAAAAAAAAAAGATTCCAGGAGGGTCTTAATTTTTACTTGCATGCCTTTAGGCTACCATATGAAAGTGGTCATGAGGAGACGATTCTTTTTTTGAAGGTGGGTGGGGAGGATTAGAGAAAGTCAAACGGGGCAAGATAAAAAAAGGATGTCAGATGGCATCTTATTGCATGTGTATGGTGAAAGTAGAGAGGAAGTAAGTGTGAGCTCAATTCCAGGAGCCCAAATCCTAGAAGGAGAGGGCAGTATCAGACATTCCCCCCAAAAGTTGACCCTGGCTGTGAGGCTGGGAACATAGCAGAACACTGCTACTTAAAACCTTGCTACTCCCTGAAGTAAGTGATGATGGCTTCCCCTATTTTCTGTGGAGTTCCTTAACTGGAGTTACTGTCTTCACACAGTTATCTCCTATGGGGAAAATTTCTTCCGCATAGTAACATTTTTCTAGGTGTATATAATCTAGTAGAAACTTATTCTCTGATCTATTTATAGACACATAGACATATACGCAATTTACCTTGTCTCTTGGCATGTTTATAGTGCTTTGATTTTTAAGATTTATTACATTTTTTTTAAAACTTTGAATGGATGAACTCTTCTACCAACTCACATAATTATGTTGGGATTGAAGAAACTTGGACCAATGATTATCTCCTAAGAAGGCCCACCTTTGAGACTATCAGATTGATTATCTTTCAAAATACCCTGAAAGGCATTGTTATATCCATAATATCTTATATGGTCTTTCAGTTGCTGTCTTAGAATATAGCTTAAGGCTGTGCTTGTTATCAAGAAACAGCCTATTGCAAAAAGTCACTTCTCTGTCAGTGAATCGAATCCCTATGAGCTTTCATTCCTAGGAAATCCCGTGATACCAAGTAAATCAAGAATGCATCGTTTTTCTCTCTAGGGAATAGATAAGCTTGGTCAGTGACTTTTAGATAATTAATGCCCTCTACTAATGGGAATATTAAAAGGCGGCATTAGGTTTTCTGATTTCAAGTAAAGGCTCTGAATCTCCCATTGAATACGTCTTCGGTTTAAGGCTCTGAGTAGAGTAGTCAGTGAGAAAGAAGTAAGGGACTCCTCACCTGTCAGTTGACTTGAGTTAGGTCTGGTGGGCAGAGTTCTGGGTATGTAGGCCCTTCCACAGAGTCTGCTGCCAGCCAAGTCACCTTTCAGGTTAGTTTTGCCTTCTGTAAAATGAAGTATTTTGTTCATCTCAAGTGGTGATTGTGAGGGGATGAAATGCAAAAATGATTTTAAAGAGTAAGAAATGCTTTATAAAATGTACAGCATGCAGGTGATAATTCTTTAGTATTTTATGTGTCAATGGTTTCTCTATGGTGACATTGTATTGCATGTAGAACTGACATATGTTCTAATAAAGGAATTGTGTATGCTAATAAATGCCAGGGGCTTTCTTGAATTCTCATGTAGTTTAGCTGCTTGAACACTTTACTATGATTTCAGAGTGTAATTTTTGGCAAAGCTGGGATATATGATCAATTTTAACATTTTCAATGATTCAGCAAAATGTTTTTCAAACAAAATTATTATATAAATAAATTTTTGGTTTGTGTGACACTTTAAGTGATAGTTTTAGCCACATTAGCTAAGAAGCATCATTTTTCTGCAGGAGCTTATTATTGGGTGACCCGTGGTCCTATTTCCTAATCTCTGCAGTACCTACAGAAACAGAAGTAAACCCAGCCTCCAAGCACAGGTTGGGTTTTCGTCTTTCTCCTTTTAGGTCCTGGCAGCCATTCTGATCCTTGGCTAAACCTGGACAGCCCTTTGAATCAGAAGCTTGTAACCTTGAGTCTGTAACTGGAGAGCTCAGGTCGAGTAGGGTAGGGTGTGCTTCTTAAGCACAGCTTCTTCATAGCGCTTTGCCAGTGCTTTGCAGTTATTTTTACTCAGTGGGTGTTCAGGTGATAAAGGTTCCAAGTCTGCTGTTCTATTCTGAGTGTAGCTGATCTTCCTATCTTACAGTTTTCTTGTGGTTTATTTTTACAGCGTCTGGATGGTTCCATCAAGGGAGAAATCCGAAAACAGGCACTGGACCACTTCAATGCAGATGGGTCTGAGGTATACTATGCATGGCTTTGTTATTTGAGCAACTTGGGCTCTGCATCAAGGGGAAAGTCTCTCTCGCTTAATGTATTCTGTTTCAGAAACAATTTATAGTGCAATTCTTTTGCCTTGAGAAGAAAATGAGAAATCTCTCATATAAAAGATGGTGTTTTGTTGTCACTCCAGAAAAATAAATATGTGCTTATTTATCTCCCCTGTTCTGGGTTGACAACAGAGTGGTTCTCCTGGTAGCTTCCAGATACCAAATCCTTGGGCGTGGAAGAGCAGTAAGGCAGGAGTAGGGGAGAGTTGGGCAATAGAATTAATATAAGAAGGTTCTGATCTCTGTACTCTTTTGGTGACTAAGTCCTGAAAAATATATTTGCCATGTCTCAAATTTGTTGGACTTCTGATACAGTGTGGCTTAATGTTCTTGCTCTCGCTAACAGCAACATTTTACAATCAGTGTCGAGCTTGGATTTGGCATTATGAAGTATTTTGTTTGGGGGGCACATATAGAAGAGCTACTTAGGATGAAATAGAAGGTATGACAACATTGTAGTTTGTGCATATCAAATCATCAGATGCCATGGGATTTGAGAGAAGTGGGAGAGAAAAGTTTTGGTGTGAATAAAACTGTAATAATGTGTAGAGCTAAAGGAAGCAGTGGAGACAACCTGAAGTAGAAGTGTTTCACAGAGAATGCTAATTTCTGGAGCCTGAGCCACTACTTTTTTTTTTTTTTAAACAGATAGAACAGACTTAGCTTTCTGAAGAGCTTTAAAAACTCTTGATGCCTGTGCCTGTTACTACAGAATGCTCTGCTGTCTGCCTTTAGAGTGTAGAAATCCTAGTTAGACTAGTATTCTGGCTACTTCTGTAGTCTAAACATTTACTTCTTGAGGGGCTTGGGGCATTAATCTATTCAGAGCCAAGGCTCTCGTTCATTAAGGATAAGAGGAATGGAATAATTAAAGACATCGGTCATCAACTAATTCCCATTCCTCCTTTCCTTGCTCCTTGTTTCCTCAGCTGTAAAATCACAATGATTCTGATACCCCACTTCATAATATTGCTCTGAGGATTAAATTTGGTAATCAACATAAAGCACTGATCACATTGCCCAGTGCATAGTAAGCGCTCTAAATATCTGCTATTTTTATCATGTAGTGTTGGTTGAAATTGGTTTTGTGTTCTCCACTCTTAGTTTAAAAAATAGTATGAGTCGAATGTTTCATATTGCCCTGTCTCAGGGGAAAAAAAAAATTGCTTTTTGCATAGCTCTCAGTTGATTCCCACTCACTATGATGGCTATATAGAACACAAGTTCTCTACCATTTCTGCAGTATTTTAAAAATTCCTTTAAAAAACTAAATATTTATTGTGGGACAAAATATTATATGCTTACTTAGAATATTGGGAAGATGGTAAAGAATACAAAGAAAAAAACAATTGTACCCCTCATTCTAGACACAACTTGCTGTTCACGTCTTTGGGGTGTATTTCCATTCCTACTAGATGGAACCATTTATATGTTTACCTAATTCGGATCATGTTGCATACAGTTTTGTTCCCTTCAAAATTATACTTTGAGGCTAGGCGCGCATAGTGGCTCACACCTGTAATCTTAGCACTTTGGGAGGCCAAGATGGGGGAGGATCACTTGAGACCAGGAGTTTGAGACCAGCCTGGTCAACATAGTGAGACCTGTCTCTACCAAAAAAAAAAAAAAAAGTTTCCCCATGTTATTAAAGATTTTACAAAATTTAATTTCTAGGCCCATAGCAAGACCCTATCTCTACAAAAAATTAAAAAATGAGCCGTGCATAGTATTGTGTGCTTGTAGTTCCAGCTGTTCAGGAGACAGGCAGGAGGATCCCTTGAGACCAGGAGTTTGAGGCTGCAGTGAGCCAGGATTGCCCCACTGCACTCCAGCCTGGGTGACAGAATGAGACCCTGTCTCAAAAAAAAAAAAAAATTTTTTTTTTAAATTTCTAAATTTTTCTTATGCTTGTACCATTTATTTATTTAACTACCTTACCGTTAGTGGCATTGAGTTTTATAATTTTTTAACCTTTTTCAACTTGATCATAGATGCAGACGACATATTATAATCCACGTTATCCTTGCTAAAGAGTGATATAGCAGATTGTTGGTTGATAGGATCTTTTTGACTCCAGATTTCATTTGTTTTAGATATCTCATCTTAAATTGTCCACTGTTTATCTTTAGACTTCTCTTTGGAGTGTGGTGGTGCTTAATATTTCTCTTAAGAATCACAGATTATGTGCCTGGACACTCCTGTTGATCACTTCTTTATTGGAATTGTTTAATTAAAATTCTTGTGAAGCAGCTGTCTCCATTTTTATTTCTATGGCATAATGTTGTTGAATGTGACTATTAGAACATGGAGACCTTTTCATTGCATCTCTATGTGTATGCTAAATATACCCATTTATCAAGATGGAACTCAGGACTACCAGTTTTTCAATGCTGCTTCTCTCTGCTACAAAGGCATCAGCTTTTGACATATATGATTAAATTCCCTGAAAATAGAAATATTTCACCTTTTCCCCCCGGCTTATATATTTTATTCTTTTTCTCCTGCCCCCATATTTTTCTGAGCACTCAGACGCAGGCAGGTGTGCTGTGCTTGCCCAGTGTCTACTGTCATTGCTGTGGATACTGCAGTGTCAGTGCCTGGGTGGTTCCACACATCGCTCTCCAGCCAAACCTGTTTTGATTTTTTTATAATTTTGGCATGTTTTGTGGTAATTGAGGATCCTGTGGTTCTCAACACTTACCATATATGATCTCTTTAGTGCAGTGTTTCTATATTTCTCGCCAGCCTAACAAACATAAATATTTATATAATAAAGTATCTCTGTTTATACTAACTGACTTACATGGCATAATCTACCTTTTCCCTAAAAATAATTATACAGGTGACTTCCTGGAGTTAATGATCTCCATGATAATTGTTTGTCTGTTTTTATTATTGTTGCTGTTAACTTCTTGTATATTAGTTGTAGCCGGGAGGTAGCACTAATTCTCTCACTCCCATTGCCTTATTAGAGTCTACTCTACTCCTGTTCATGGCACTGACTTTGCCTCTTAATCAAATGAAAATTCATTCTACCATCAAGTCCCTGACATTCTTTTAGCCTCCATAAAGTTTGTCCATCATATCTCACTTTTCTTCACACCTGCAGGGGTTTCCAGGTGTAAGGGCTTATTGGACTGTGAAACTGTTTCTGAGAAGGCCACTGCATAAAGTAGTATATTGCATTGTGTACAGGACTTCTGTTTCCTGCTCTCGACAAGGGCTGGTGGCCTGGGAATCAATTTGGCTTCAGCGGACACAGTCGTCATCTTTGACTCTGACTGGAACCCCCAGAATGACTTGCAGGCACAAGCCCGAGCGCATAGAATTGGTCAAAAGAAGCAGGTCAGTATGGAGAGGCTTCTGGAAATTGCTTTAGGGTTGGGGGCCAGGGGGCTTGTTCAGCCCTTTCAGGATGTTAATAAAATGCTTTTTCCCTGTTTTGCTTTTATTTCCCCTGAAGCATTGATTTCTGTTTGTTAACTAGCACAGAGATGTTGTCTTTGGGCCCAAGATGAACCTATTAAGGAACTTTTCTTTTTCTCTGTTTGAAAAGTACAACATCAGCGACCTTCTATGTGTTTATCTTGAGAGAGATATATGATGAATAGACTTAGAACTGAACATTTTCTCTATTTTAGTATGGAAAAGTTAAATATCCTATTGTTCAAGATGGTTTGTTTTTATTATACATGACAGTGTTAGCTTTAAAGGTACTTTGGAAAACCACACACTTTTTTGTTTATGAATCTTAAAGTCTGTTCTATATTGGATAACCCGTAAGTTTCATTCTTGGCCAAAGATTCTGTTTTTGTGGAACTTTCCATCACTGAAGCACGATTTTTATTGATGGAACAGGCCATAACGACAGATCTTTAGAGGCAATTTTATTTAAGACTGTAACCTGCTGCACATAGTAAAAGTATTGCATCTACTTAAGCTGCCTGCTTGGATGGCTTACAGTCTTCTATGGTTAGAGAATAAATTCTGTTAAAATTTTCCCCTCTTGGGTTTTGACAGAGCTAATCCTTCTCTCTTTTTTTGGGGGGGTTGGGGGGTGGTTCAGGCATAAGCATAACAGTTCCTTTTCCTACAGGTAAATATTTACCGCTTAGTTACAAAGGGGACTGTGGAGGAGGAGATCATAGAACGGGCCAAAAAGAAGATGGTATTAGATCATCTGGTGATTCAGCGCATGGACACCACTGGCCGGACGATCCTGGAAAACAACTCAGGAAGGTCCAAGTAAGTGCCAGGAAGATTGGGAGGTAGGCAGAATCAAATTGATTCTACATCACTGTTGGATATAATAGGATTTTCTACCACAGACATTAGTCTGTTCATTACCTGGAAGATGCCAGGCCAGAACCACAAATAGGATAGCATTTTCACTTTGAGTTTCTTGGTTCCTTTTTTTGCCCATCACCCCCCTTCTTATGTGTTTTCCTCTCTTTCTTGCCCTCTCCCTTACCTTTGCTTTTGGCTGCTCATGTGACATATGACACAGCAACAGCAGTGGAGTTGTGTGTTGGGTGTCAGCCTAGCATAATGTCACCTTTGACTTTTCTGCAGTGAGAATCCAGATTGGATTGGCAGCTGTTTTTTTTTTTTACTATTGGCAAAAATGTTTGTGTGGAGATTGTTGTGCTTCCAGAAGGGTGTAAAAAGAAAGTAATGAAGTTTTAATTGGCTTTGGGAAGAGGCACAGCTACATCTCCTATAAAGTTTAATTAGCCAGGCATGGTGGCAGGCGCCTGTAGTCTCAGCTACTTGGGAGGCTGAGGCAGGAGAATGGCGTGAACCCGGGAAGTGGAGCTTACAGTGAGCCGAGATTGTGCCACTGCAGTCCAGCCTGGGCGACCGATAATAATAATAATAATATCAAAATAATAATATCAATATTATCAAGATAATAATGATATCAAAATAATAATAAAAATAAGTTTACATTTTGAGCAGATTGTTGAGTGTCTTCTGTGGTGGTGTTTCAGCTATGTTTTTTGTTTGTTTGTTTGTTTGTTTTTGAGATGGAGTCTCGCTCGGTCGCCCAGGTTGGAGTGCGCTGGCACGATCTTGGCTCATTGCAACCTCTGTCTCCTAGGTTGAAGTGATTCTTGTGCCTCAGCCTCCCGAGTAGCTGGGACTACAGGTGTGCACCACCACACCTAGCTAATTTTTTTTTTCTTTTTTTTTTTTTTTTTTAGTAGAGACAGGGTTTTTCCATGTTGGCCAGACTGGTCTCAAACTCCTGACCTCAAGTGATAGGCCCACCTCAGCCCCTCAAAGTGCTGGGATTATAGGTGTGAGCCATTGTGCCCGCTGCAGCTATGTTAAAGGTGTATTCAAATTAGCCCTTCCTAAATAAAATGTTTTCAGATAGTTTTCTGTTTAAGAGGAAGCTAGATGAGAAAAGCCTAGCTCTTTTATTTTGGACCGGGGTTGAGAAGGTTGAAAATTCTTGGTGAATTATAACTTTCTGAGTAAAAGGCCAAAGGAAAGAGCTCCATTCTATAACATTGCTAGTCACCTTTCTGGCTTACCCATGCAATAGGTGAACCAGTAGGACTGTAACTAATTTTCTATTCTGCTGGTTTAGGGTTACCATCACAGACTCATCCTGTAGATAGAAAATGCGATGTTTGAGAAATCATTTTTCTTGAGGCAGAGTTTATATTTTCAGCAGTTAACTTGACCTCTTTCTGAAGGATAGTTATTCTGAAGTAGAACACTTTAGAGGTTATTTGATGTTTCTAACAACTACATTTTACTTCCACAGCTCAAATCCTTTTAATAAAGAAGAGCTGACAGCTATTTTGAAATTTGGAGCAGAGGATCTCTTCAAAGAACTGGAAGGGGAGGAATCAGAACCTCAGGTAATTAACAATGAGGAGAGGGAAATTTTTTTGAGAAGTATGATCTGTGAGAGTCTAACTTTTCTGTAAGAAGATTCTGTTAGAGGCTTTTGTAAAGAAAAAGTAATTACTTGAAGGACAGTGTGTTTTTCTTTCGTAGGAATCTCATAGCTCTTACCAAATTGAGTAGGAAGGAATTAATAAAGCATTCGAGTATACTTTTTTGGGTTGTTTTTTTCTCCCATTTCTGTTCGTTTTAATTTTTGAAGTTTCACCTTGTCATTTGTATAAATTATAGTTTGAGACATTAGATGTAAAAGATGTAGAGTTGAAACTGAAAGTAAATGAAATATCAGAAAGGAGAATTGGTTTATTTGCACCAAACATTTTTAGTAAATACGAATAATTTCTGGGCAACTAGGCAACTCATCTGTTGCCATTTTATTCTATTCGTGTTGGCTTTTGTTCTTTTAGGAAATGGATATAGATGAAATTTTGCGGTTGGCTGAAACGAGAGAGAATGAAGTGTCAACAAGTGCAACAGATGAACTTCTATCACAGTTTAAGGTATGAAGATCTTTGTGGGAGAGAGTTCTCAGCATTGATTCATTAATGATGACTAATGTTTATGAACGCTTTCTTTGTGCTAGGCGCTCTGCTTTTCTCTTTACCTGAATTGAGTCATATCCTCAATATTGTTCTCTGAATTGTGAGTATGTTGTGAATGTAGGTTCTACAGTCCGCACGAAGGTAATCACTGAAGTGGGCTATCCTATGTAGAGTCAGTGTGTGGCGGAAAAGAAATCACTGAAGAGAGGGCTAGGTAGAGAGCCAGGACAGAGTGTAGAACCAGGACGTGTGGAGCACTGTGGGACACGTCAATAGATCAGATGCCAAAGAGAGGTCAAAGATAGGAAAAGAGTAGATGACAATTAGAAGGTTCTGATGACTTGGTGAGATTTTAGTTTGTTTTTTGTTTGGTAAGTGAGAGAAAGAGGTGTCAGTGGTGTCTCATATAACAGAAAATTACATGAAATGAGGACTAAACACAAAAGTTGGGCACCAGACGAATAGGAGGTGGCAGCACAGAGTATCAATGTTATTAAAAAGCTTAGTGAAAGAGTACAGGGATGCTAAATTATATGGCTAGAAGGTTGAAGCAAGACAAGGTTTTTGAAAGATGTTACCATGTTTCTAGTTTGAGGAAAGAACTTGAGTATAGGGAGATATTGAAGGTTCTCAGGAAGGAAATGATTTGATGGCACATTGCCCCAGAGGAGACTGGAAGGGATACAGTCAAAAGCACAGATGGAAGACTTGGCCTTGGAAAGAAAAAGGACAAGTACACTTTAGGGAAGAGGAGGAAAGAGATGCTGTGGGAGTTTAATTTATGCTCTTAATGACTAGTAAAGTAAGTGAGGTGTTTGCTTGAGAAGTGGAAAAGATTTGGGACAGCCATGGATGAGGCAGAAAGTTGTTGGGAGGAACCTGATAGGGAGTCAGCTGAATTGAGATGATACAGCTTTGCCGTGGAGCCAGTCAGCAGGGTCATATGACTTTCTCCAGCAATACTTTTGAGGTCAGAGAAATTGGATCAGTTGGCTATCCCAAGGTGGGAGATTGGCTTGGGAGGCACAGGAAAGTCAAAATAGCAAAGGTTTTCAAGATTCATGTGACAGCTTGGAAGGAAGGATTGACCATGGGTTGATTCCATGGAGGTAGAGAAGCAAGAGAGACCTGATGATTACAATGATGGCTAAGTGTAGTATGCCCATTAGGATTGAATTGAATTAGGGGAAATTGTGTGAAGTGTTTGGAAGGAAGCAATATTGTGTGATTAGCTCCAAAGCTGGCCACTGGTAGAAGTTGTTTCAATGGAAGAACAAGGATGGAATTGAGTGGGCCAGAGAGCCCTAGATTAATGGGTTAGGATGCAGAGGATGGGGTAGAGAAGGGGGAAGGTGATTTATTAGTGTTCGTCATAGTCGGTTTGGGCTCCTGCAGTAAAATACCGTAGACTGGGTGGTTTATAAACAATAGAAATGTATTTCTCACAGTTCTGAAGATTTGAAGTTTGAGATCAGGGTGCCAACATGGTCAGGTTCTGGTGGAGGCTCTCAGGTTGCAGACTGCTGACTTTTCTTATCTTCCCATGGTAGAGAGAGAGAAGCTAGAGAGCTCTCTGGGGGTCCCTTTTATAAGGGCAGTAATCCTATTATGAGGGCTCTACCCTCATGACCTCCTAACACCTTACATTGGGAGTTAGGATTTCATCCTATGACTTTTGGGAAGAACATAAACATTCAGTCCATTGCACTGTTTCAGCTCAGTTCCACCTCTGTGACTGCTGCTCCTTTCTTCAGCAATAAAAACCTGCACTTGTGTAACTCTTACTGTGTTTCAAGCACTATCTTAAGTTAAGGGCCAGAGTCTGGCCTTTAACCACGATGTCCCTTTTGGAAAAGTTAAATTCCTTACTGCATGAACCACTAACGTATGTGCATATTTACATCAATCTTAATTTTAGTTAATTTTAGCCAAAAGTCATAAAGTAAGAGTCTTAACTTGACTTCACTGTTGGCTCCAAGGAATGGAGCCTCCAGAAGCTCATTTATACCTTATGACTGTCTCAAAGGCTAGGAGGGAGGGAATAAGAAGAATGCGGAGCCAGGCTGGGGGCTGCCTGCCACTGCTCAGATGCTGTCCAGAGGTGGTAGATGTTTCTGTGTACTCCTCCTCTGGTTCTTTGAAATGGATACACTTAGATGGCTTTCTTTCTGGGATACCTACTGTTTTAGTACAAATACATATCGGATATTAAATAATATTTGATAAGAAATGAAGAGAATATTCTTCTAGATTTATTTAAATTTTTTCTGTTTTATGTTTTCATTTTATTTCCTAAGACTAAAGTGCACTTGTGAGCATATGAAATCACCACACATCTTTAACTTTCATATTTTTGATAAAAATGAATAAAGCAACCAGTTGGCTAGATGATAATGAGTGCTTTGAGTTATGCATTGTTTCAAATGAACTCTATACAACTTATAGAAATGTAAGTTCATCATGGAGTATTAGGTATTAAGCATTTTAAAATCTAAATAAATCTAAATTTTATCATTAGTATTATATTTATTAGAACATGTATATGATTTATAACAGCTCATTCAATAAAACTTATAAAAACAATTTGTATCTTTGTAGCTGTTTCTCTGCTTTTCAGTAAAATTTATGATGTGATGAACTTGAGGACTTGACAAGTTGATTTTTGGGGGTATAAAGGAAAAATTAATAGAAAATTGATTATCTGATTATGTAATATCACAAAAGTCCTATTATTCACAGTGTCTACTTAGATAAAAACACTGGATAAATTGTTTTAGTAGATGGTGTTTAGAAATAGGGAAATGTCAGACAATGGGTTGTCTGTTTTAAGGTTGCCAACTTTGCAACAATGGAAGATGAAGAAGAGCTAGAAGAGCGTCCTCACAAGGACTGGGATGAGATCATTCCAGAGGAACAAAGGAAAAAAGTAGAGGAGGAAGAGCGGCAGAAGGAGCTAGAAGAAATTTATATGCTGCCTCGAATTCGGAGTTCCACTAAAAAGGTGATCAAGTGAGATGAAAGATATGAAATTATTTCTTATGTTGTGAATGCTACAGAAGTGTTGATTATTCAAAGAAGAGGCCTTGCATTGTTCCCCTGACACAGAGGCTTCAGGAGCAGAGTTGATACTGTAGGAAACTTAACAAAGGAAAGTGGAGAAATCTGCAGAGCTCCTGAGCACACCTGTGAGACATCGGATTTGGTCTTTGCAAATTGGCTCTTTGTGAAGCTGATAAACAGGGTCTGAAATTTCCAGAAGTTTGCATTTTGCCTTTGAGTAGTCCTCACAGTTTGGCTGTTAATTGCCACTGCCTTCAACTTTCAGAAAGTCACACCTCTGTTTGTCCATAACAGTTCACAGCACTTGATATAAATACTTAGTAAAGGATTATATAACTATAAATAAGAAACATATACCAACTTGACAGTTCACAAAGCTCCATCACAGACACTATCTAATTTGATTTTTGTAACAACATTGAAATAGGTAGAACAAGTTTTTTTACCCATTTTGTTGGAGGTAATAGACACAGATTTGTTCAAGGTCACAGTAAATCAGTATGAGGTAACACTAGCTACCATTTATTGAGCCCTTACAATGTGCTAGGCATACTTCTAAGTGCTTTAACTTACTGAAAACCATCTGTTATAGGTACTATTGTCTTCATTTTTCAAATGAGAAAATAAAGGCACAAAGAGTAAAATTACTTGCCCAAAGGAGTAAACATGAACCTGTTTTATAATGGGATATTGTAAAAATATTCATATATTTTTAATCCAGTTCACTTATCGTTATATTACAATGTCTCTGAAAGTATGACTGTCCTAAGTGGGTATTTCTCCAAGACCTGTCTCCCCTTATTTGTCAAAGGAAAATTGACTTGTCTGATATGGTGAGAAGTTCTGAATACTAAAGAATTAAGATGGCCTTCTCTTAGTCCTTTCACCACTTGAACTTCGCACTTGTTACAGTGTGACTTTGCCTCGATCTTTCTCAGGCTCAGACAAATGACAGTGACTCTGACACTGAGTCTAAGAGGCAGGCCCAGAGATCCTCTGCTTCTGAGAGTGAAACGGAAGACTCTGATGATGACAAGAAGCCAAAGCGCAGAGGGCGTCCGAGGAGTGTGCGGAAGGACCTCGTGGAGGGATTTACTGATGCAGAGATCCGAAGGTTGGTGGAGGCTCTGTTCTCACTGAGCTTGTTTGAAAGTGCGTACTGTAAGTCTTGGGTTGACTGGATCCTGGACATCGTGACAGGGTAGGCAGAGGCTAATACCTACAAAAAAGGAAAGAGAAGCTGGGTCCTGTCCCAGATCTGTAGGATGATCCTTCCTTCTCCAAGGTTTCTTTCTGTTGAGATCACTTTTATTTGTTGTTCATCTCTCTATTTCTCTCTTATTCTCTGGTTATTCAGAACATTTTCACAAAGTTCAGCTCGGGGAAGGAGATAATTGACATACATGTATATACAGACTTATGTATCTGTATATAAAAGAAATATCAAAAATAAAAATGGTACAAATAAGTCTACCCTCACTACCTCTCCCCTCCGCCACAATCCCACTTCCACCTGTGTTAGTACTGACATCAGTTTGCTAGTGGTTTGCTTTGATTTATAAGTAGTATGTACAGCATGTTGTTCAGCACCTTGCTTTCCCCGATCCCATTTAAAATCCATTTTAGACATCTTTCTATGTGAGTGATTACTATACATTTCTTGGTATCTGATTCAAATGTCTCTATCCTCCATAAAAAAATCTAAAATTGTTGCTTACAAATTATTTTTTTTCCAGTTTCCATCTTTTTTTTTTAAGCCTGAAGAAAATAGAAAGTATAAAGATGGTTTTAAGGCCTAATCCATATTATAATTATATTAAATAGTCCTTTAAGTTTCATGTATTTGAAACTGTGAGGTGTTTCTTTTCACTTAAAGGTCACACCTATTCTTCTTTCTTTGTTTAATTTACTATGGAAAAATAGAAATATTTCAAAATACTGACAGAATAGCATGTAACACATCCCCTCTTGTGCTTATCATCTTAACAATTTTGAATTTGTAGCCAAAATTGTATGTATATATACACACCCCACCTCTTCTTGCTCCCTATTCCCAGTATTATTTTGAGAAGAATGTGTTTTCTGCTATGGGGCAGTATGTTCTATAGCTGTATTTGGCTTAGTGTTTTTCAGGTCTTTAATTTCTTCATTGATTTTCTGTATAGTTGTGGTTATTTTGGTAGAGTCAGAATCTTGCTCTCTTGCACAGGCTGGAGTATGATCCTATCTCACTGTAACCTCACACTCCTGGGCTCAAGTGATCCTCCTGCCTGAGTGCCTTTTTCACTCAGCCTCCCAGGTAGCCAGGTCTACAGGCATGTGCCACCATGTCTGGCTAATTAAAAATTTTTTTTTTTGGTAGAGACAAGGTTTCATTATGTTGCCCAGGCTGGTCTCAGACTCCTGGCCTCAAGTATCCTCCTGCTTCAGCCTCCCAAAGTGTTGGGATTATAGGCCTGAGCCACCGTGCGCAGCCTAGTTGTTCTACCCATTATTGAAAATGGGATGTTGACATCTCTGTTACTCTTATATGATCCATTTGTTCTTCAATTGTTAGTTTTTGCTTCATGTGTTTTTGGACTCTTATTAATTGTATATATTTTTTATAATCGATAGGTCTTGATTGGCCTTTTTATTGTAACATGTATTTCTGTCTGTAGTAACAATTTTTGTTTTAATTCCTATTTTCAGTTTGATATTAGTATAGCCACTCCAGCTTTCTTTTTGGGTATTTGAAATTTTAAAAAATGGTATTTGGCCAGGCATGGTGGTTCACGCCTGTAATCCCAGCACTTTGGGAGGCCAAGGCAGGCAGATCGCTGGAGCCTAGGAGTTTGAGACCAGCATGGTCTCAACATGGCGAAACCCTCTCTCTACTAAAAATACAAAAAATTAGCCAGGTGTGGTGGTACACACCTGCAGTCCCAGGTACTTGGGAGGCTGAGGCTGAGGCACGAGAATTGCTTGAACCCAGGAGGCCAAGGTTTGCAGTGAGCCGAGATGGCACCACTAAACTCCAGCCTGGGTGACAGAGCAAAACTCTCTAAAAGAAGAAGGAAAAAAAAAAAAAGATGGTATCTTAAAATTTTTTAAAAATATTTTTTCTGCCAATCTCTTTTTTTTGATTGCAGTATTTAATCTATTTACATTTAATGCAGTTATTATAAAGTAGGAATTATGTCTGCATTTTGCTATTTGTCTTCTATATGTCATGTTTTTTTTGTTTATTTCCCCATTACTACTTTCCTTTGTGTTAAATATATAATATACCATTTTAATTACCTTAAAAAAAAAACTTTTTTTTTCACTTATTTTCTTAGTGGTTGCCCTAGAAATTACAAGTAACATCTTAGAACAATTTACTTTGAATTAACATCAATTTAATTTCAATGGCATTATAAAAACTTTGCCCCAGTTATAGCTCACCATCCCCATTTGTGCTGTTGTCGCACATTACATCTTTACACATTTTAAACCCATCAATGCAGTTTTATAATTCATACTTTATATAGTTAGTTGTCTCTTTTTTTTTTTTCTTTTGAGACGGAGTTTTGCTCTTCTCACCAAGGCTGGGGTACAGTGGTGCAATCTCGGCCCACTGCAACCTCCACTTCCCAGGTTCAAGTGACTGTCCTGCCTTAGCCTCCCAAGTAGCTGAGATTACTGGCTCCTGCCACCACGCTGGCTAATTATTTTTGTATTTTTAGTAGAGATGGGATTTCACCATGTTGGCCAGGCTGGTCTTGAACTTCTGACCTCAGGTGATCGGTGTGCCTCGGCCTCCCAAAGGGCTGGGATTAGAAGCGTGAGCCACCCACACCCAGCCTAGTTAGTTGTCTTTTAAAATCAGATAGAAGGAAAAGAGTTACAAAAATGCATGTATACTGTTTTTATATTTACTTACTCTATTATTCCATGGGTGCTCTTATTTCTTCATGTGATTTGAGTTACTATTTTATGTCCTTTCATGTCTGCCCAAAGGACTCTCTTTTAGCATTTTATTTTGAGGCAGGTCTGCTAACAATGGATTCTCTATTTTGGCTTAGCTCGCACTGTTAATTTCATCTTCATTTTTGAAGGAAAGTCTTAATTTCTTTTTTTCTGTTTCTCACGTGGGATAATCTCAATTGGCCTATCTTCAGATTTGGCAGTTCTCTCTTCTTCAGGCTAATATCTGCTGCTGAGCCTCACCAGTGATTTTTTTTTTCATTTCCGTTATTGTAGTTTTCAACTCTAGAATTTCTATTTCACTCTTTAAAAAATGTCCGTTTTTAAACAGCATTTCTGTTTCTATTGATATCATTTTCGACCTTTCTTTTTAATTCTCTAGGCAGACTTTTTTTAACTCTTGTAAATATTTATAATAGCTGATTAGCATCCTTGTCTTATAAGCCTACATGCTAGACTTCCTTAGGGATGGTTTCTATTACCTGCTTTTTTTCCTATGTATACTTCATACTTCATACTTTTTTTTTTTTTTTTTTTTTTTGAGATGGAGTTTTGCTCCTATCACCCAGGCTGGAGTGCAATGGCGCGATTTTGGCTCACTG
Organism: Homo sapiens; assembly: GCF_000001405.40. NCBI lineage: Eukaryota > Metazoa > Chordata > Mammalia > Primates > Hominidae > Homo > Homo sapiens. Next base: position 92,989,110 of record NC_000015.10, read on the forward strand.
CAACCTCCGCCTCCTGGGTTCAAGTGATTCTCCTGCCTCAGCCTCCCGAGTAGCTGGGATTACAGGTGCCCACCACAATGCCCAGCTAATTTTTATATTTTTAGTAGAGACAGGGTTTCACCATGTTGGCCAGGCTGGTCTCGAACGCCTGACCTCAGGTGATCCACCCGCCTCGGCCTCCCAAAGTGCTCGGATTACAGGCGTGAGCCACCATGCCCAGCTTACTTTTTGGTTTTCTATATGTCCCGTAATTTTTCCCGTGAAAAACTGGACATTTTAAATCATATGGCAACTCTGGAAATCAGATCTCCCCTCCCAGCCATGTGTTGTGTTTGCCGCTGCTGTTGTATTTGCTTGTTTAGTGACTTTCCTGTACTAGTTATCTGAAGTCTGTATTCTTTGTCATGTTATGTGATCCTTGTCATGCTATGTGTAGTCTCTACTCCTTTAGCTTAGTGGTCAGCTAATGATTGAACAGAGATTTCCTTAAATGCTTTGAGCCTGTAAGTCTACCAGCCTTTGTTGAAGGGCTGGGTATGTGTTGTTGGGGCACGTTTCAATGCTCTGGAAGGCAATTGACAACTCTGCCTTAACTTTCAGTTCCTGCTTGCACAGTTGCTCAAGGTCTTTCTCAGGCTCAGACAAATGACAGTGACTCTGACAGTGAGTCCAAGAGGCAGGCCCAGAGATCCTCTGCTTCTGAGAGTGAGACAGAAGAGTCTGATGATGACAAGAAGCCAAAGCGCAGAGGGTGTCCCAGGAGCGTGCGGAAGGACCCTTTGAGATCTTTCCTCTGCATGGACACAGACCTGCACATGTCAGAGCTTTTCAGAGTATCTATCCTATGAACATCTTTCCTCCCAGTTTTTCTTTTTGTCTTTGTTCAACCTTTTGTTATTTCCAGTTGGTAATGTTGCCTCAGGCCGTCATGGTGTTAAATCTTTGCATCTAATTGTTTTTGACCAATGAATTTTGGACAGGGCTATTCACACAGTGAGTTCTGGGTCAGTCCAATAAAGACAAGCCTGAGAATGGAGCTTCTTAGGGTGCTGTTAGCCAGGTCCAGTCATTCTGGGGGAATAGGGCTTTTGGAGAACTCTCAACCTCTTCTTTACCCTCCAGTGGCTGCTGTGCTGCTGGTTACACAGCTATTGTAGTTGCAGAAGTGTTAGTTTTGAAGGCTGTCATGCAGCTGGGGTTAAGGGGTGGGAATAGTGCAAGTTAAAAAATGCCTTGAAGCTTGCTGAGCCATTTTCTTGAATAAATTTCTTAGATGGCTGCACGCATTTGGTTAATTTCCAGAGTTGTGACAATACTGATTGTGACCGTTTATGCCAGCATTCCTATTGCTTTTATGGGGGAGCAGATTTTCACAGACCCTTAGTCTGTCATTTCGGAAGTGTTGTTATTTAGACATAAAATATTTCAGTGTCTGTCAAGAAGGAGAAATGCAGTTAAGGAGTAATCCTCAGGTTTTGTTCATATATAATACTTTCCTAACCTTTGTATCTGCGCTGTTCCTTTAATGTTGTTTTTAGCTATTGTCATATTCAGTCCCATTTTATTCTGTAGCCATGTCTTCTCATTTCCATTTTTCCCTTAGCATCTGTCCTTACATGGTTATATAACCCAATTATCATAGTAATTTGGCATATTACATGATGCCCTTAATGTGTCATGAAGTCCTGGTTTTTAGTGGAAAGTACTGGTGACCAGCCTGTAGGAATGGGGATGATGGCATGAGTTGGTATGTAGCATAGTTTAGGGTAGAGACTTGCAGGAAGATAGATTGGATTTTTGGGAGGAGAGGTCAGTAGAGTTTCCAAAATTGTTTGCCTAAGAAGTTTTAAATCATATTTTACTGTGCCTTATTCCAAAAACTATTTGAGACAGTCAAAAAAATCTTAACAGCTGAAAAATCATTGGTTTTCTAATAACGAAAAATATGGTATTGAAGGTAACAGTGGTGAACTGAATACGCTGATGAAACGATATAAGGGTTTGTCACAATAGAGTCGTGATGATTGAATCCTTTATGACACAGTGAAGTCTATAAACTTGTATCTTCTAAAAAGGATATTAGAGCTAAGTCACAGTTCTCTAGCATGTTATCTAAGCAGGTTTATGTACAGTCACTGAGAATAAAGTTGATCTTTAATTTGAATAGATTTTTAGCAGTCATTATTTTAAGTTGACTAGTTTCAAAGACATTCAACATTTATTCATTTTTTTGGTAGTGCAAGGATTGAGTCCACTCTATTTTTGACAATTTGCATGGCTCATATGTCATCACAGGATATGCTAGCATCAACATAACTAAAGTAAGTCTCTGTTTTTTTAATATGTTTTATTGATCCTATTCTTAGGTTCATCAAGGCTTATAAGAAGTTTGGTCTCCCTCTTGAACGGTAAGTTCAGTGTAATAGTCCCTTATCTTCCTCTTTTTTGCTTTTATTATATAGTACGTTCTTTTTTGGTAAATTTTTCCATTTAATACTAATGCTGGGAACATTTTTTTTTCTGGAAACATTTATTTACAAACATTTATATATTGGGTGCCTGTTCATTCATGTCTCTCTGCAGAGGGATGACAAAGATGATAAAGACAGGCCATCCATAAAAAGACTTTCACCTTCGTGAGGGAGATAAAGCAAGTATATTCAAAACCATAGTGCGTGAAATAATTTCCAGAGAGATGTTCATGTAACTCCAGTTGAAAAGAATGTATGTAGTTATTATTTGTATCCTAGTTCTTAGATTTAATAATGTCAAAGGTAAAAGGCTCTTTATGATTTTATAATCTTCTGCTAATTAGCAGGATTTTATGAGGATTAAATACAAAGGACTTAACATAGCCTTGACTATAAAAACTTCCAAAAGGGTAGCTGTTGTTACTATTCTATAAGCATTTAGAAAATAATTCAGAAGTTAGATTTTAACAGAAGACTCTATTTGAAATGGTTCGGTACTTTACTTCCTATAAAATCTAAAAAGCCCTAATTTAAAGGAAATACTGGGCTCCCTTCTCTTTCTTCTGATAAACTTCTTGAGTGGGTGAAAATTACAAGCCTGTTTTTGTTTGGTCCTCTCCATTTGGCGAGGAGGTAGTGATGTGTAGCATTAAGCCACAGCAAGGCCAAGAAGGTCAGTTGCATCTTTCCAGGACTATTGCTGACCACCCAGGGGTAGACTGTCTGTTTTTGGGCCAGTTACCGTAAAAGCCAATAGAATGTGGAAAAGGGGGCTTGACACCTTTTGACAGCCTGTTTTTTAGCTGTTAATGTAGTTGTGTGCTTCATATGACATGGAGATCAACTAAACATATAGTAGAAGTAGCTATACTCTGCTTCTAGGAGCATTGCAGTGAATGAAAGTAGGCTGGAGAAAGGAAAGTGAACACAAAAGAAGCAAGCTAGTACGGATGGTGTTCAGGCACTTCACCTGCTGCCACTAACAGCCTATTTATTTAATAAACTTTGCTTTGCTTGTTTCTTTCTTTCCTCTCTGTTTTTTGGAATTATTTTGTTTTGTGGAATATTCAAGACACAATTCTTTATGATGGAAAATGAATGTGTTAGCCTTCAGTCAATGTCCAGGGGTTCTTGTTGGAGCCTTAGAATGACCACTAAAGGAACGCAAAGAAAAGTGTCTTTGCAGGAGAAGATTATGTGAGGCCTAGTGGCATCTCATGACACTTAAGAAGAGTGGGCACAGGGTCCTAAAGTGTCCCCATATTTGTTCCTCCTCAGGCTGGAGTGCATAGCACGTGATGCTGAGCTGGTAGATAAGTCGGTGGCAGATCTGAAGCGCCTGGGTGAACTGATCCACAACAGCTGTGTGTCAGCAATGCAGGAATACGAAGAGCAGCTGAAAGAAAATGCCAGCGAGGGTAAGCGAAGTTGGCTTTAGTGAGTCTTCGCAACCTGGCACTCTTGGACTGGATTTCTGTTGCTAAAGGGCGTTTTAAGGACAGGCTTGAGGACCACACATGCCTAGTGATTTCAGGTGTTTATTCTGAGCTGCGTTTCTGTGAGCTTAATATTCTACTCTCCTACAGGTCTACTCACAAATGAAGTTGATTTGCAGAAGGTGTAGAGTGAAGAAAAAGATGAAATGGTTTTTTTTTGTGTTGCTGTAGAAAGTTTAAATTCGTCGGAGTGATGTAAAAACCCAGGGGCAGAGCTTGGTGGACACCTCTGTATTTTGGCTGCAAATAAGAGGTGTTATAGATCACAAGCATTGTTAATTATCTTGGATATATATTGTGCGTTATGGCAAACACAAAGGATTTAGAGAATTAATTGGAATAAATAAAATATTGGATGAGTATCGTAAACATTTTTGGGTTACGTTGAGATTTTCATGCCACTAGAATTTGTTCTCATTGGATTGGACATGCAGTGTGTTTTCTCTTTGATACCAGAAAGTGATTTTGCCTGTCCTGTGTGATATCTTTAAAAGCAAGAGGTATAGGAATGCTTGTGAGGAGAGAACTCTGAAGTAGTTATTGGTAAGGACACCCTCATAGTGAACTTTAAAGAAACGAAGAGAGGCCAGGCGCAGTGGCTCACGCCTGTAATCCCAGCAGTTTGGGAGGCTGAGGCCAGAGGATCACTTGAGCCCAGGAGTTCAAGTCCAGTCTGGGCAATATGTAAGTGAGACCTTGTCTCTACAAACAGTTTAAAAATTAGCCGAAAGTAGTAGGATGCACACCTGTAATCCCAGCTACATGGGAGGCTGAGGTGGGAGGTTCGATTGAGACCAGGAGGCAGAGGCTGCAGTGAGTTGAGATCATGCCGCTGCAGTGAGTTGAGATCATGCCACTGCACTTCAGCCTGGGTGACAGAGCGAAACCCTGTCTCAAAATATAAATAAATTAATTAAAAAATAAAGAAATGAAGTTATTATCATTCTACTTCTCCAGACTGTGGTTTATCTGTGCCATTTCTGCATTTTTTGGGGACAGCCTTTACTTAGGTAAGGCTACCCTTCTGCAGCTTTGTTGAGCTGTGGTTAAATCTTCAGGCTCCAGAGAAAGAGGCAGTCAGTTATCTGGAATTTTGGTTCTACCACTTCTAGTTATAAGACTTTGGGCAAGTTATATCCCTTCAACTGTCTCATTTGCAAAATAGAGTAATAGTATCTACTTCAAAGGATTTGGATAATTGAATAATTCCATACTTGTAAATTGTTTAGCAATGGCGTCTGGCTTGCAATGTTAGCTGTTATTAAGAAGTGAGTATTTGTGCTTTGAAATTTTCTTTTTTTCTTTTTAAGATTTTAATAATAAAAAATTATTTTATTATTCAATAATAACCTTAATATTATTGAATTTGATATAATTTAAAAATATCTTCAAGAGAGTCAAAACTTATTTTAAGATAATGTTCTTTTTTGTAAAAGACAAATAACTTGTATGGTTTGCAAAATGATCTGAATATGTGCTTTTATAACATTCAGAATACACCCAAAAGTAAACTTTAGGTTTAATGTACAGTATGTTTTCTATGTAATTGTTTTGAATAAGTAATACATCTACATGGCTTAAAACTGAAAAACGTATTCCTGTTACTTCTTGATGCTTTTGAGAAATGAATAATGTTTTCTCCCTTTTAAATGGTAGTACAGCATGCACACTTTTCTGTGCTTGCTTTTTTATCTCATAGTATCTTGTGGAGCTGTTTTCTTAACAGTCCCTTCTCCCCAAAGTCTCCCTTTTTTTTGTGCATGTCCACATTCTGGATCTGGCTGATTGCTTCTTCCTGGTATTAACTTATTTCCTCACACCTGTATTTCCTGTAAACTGGTATTCAGCATATTCTGAATCCAGGCTGACATTTCTAGATCAAATGGAAGATTATTGATACCTTTTTTCCCTTAGGTTGAAATTTTTGTTTCTAAAAATGTTAACATAATTACATATTTGCTTTATCCCAAACATATGTTTCCAAATACCAATACCAATCTTACTGTTAACAAAAGAATGCTGAAATGCGAAGTGTGATTTCTTTGCATTTCTTTTTGATCTTAGAATATATCACACTAACAATATAAAGTCAAAATATATGTTTAAATTATTCAAAGTTATTCCTTTCTCTGTGTGGTTAATGCCACCACCTTAATATATAGTTAGACTCTTTTGTTTTCATTTATTTTCAGTACTTAGGGACTGCTTTTCTCATTTAGATTCGATTTAATTTTTTTAATTATGTAAAAACATTTACATGGTTCAAAGTCACAACTATAAAACAAGGTACATTTGGAGCATCTTGTTTTCGTTTTTTGTTCCCCAGCTGCCTTCTCTTCCTCCTTAATAGGTCACTGTTTCTATTAGTTGTAAGTTTATCTTTGATTGTTTCTTTTAAAATTTAAGTGTGTGTGCGTGTGTATTTTCCTTCTTACACAGAAGAGAACATACTCTTTTGCACCTGCTTATTTTCATGACTGAGATAAATTCATATCATTATGTAGAGATCATCCTCTTTCCTTTTACAGTTGCAGAGTATTCTACCATGTAGATAGATGTCAATTCACACTTCCCCCCTAGTATTTAATATTTGGGTTGTTTTCGGTCTTTTGTTATTATAAAGAAAGTCACAATGAATAATGATCTAATGAATATACCATTTCATATCTCTGCCAGCATATCTTTGGGATAAATTTCTAGAAGTGGGATTGCTGGGTCCTGGGAAAATGCGTATATACTTTGCTTCGATATTCCCAAATCCTTCTGCATAAGTCTGGTGCCACAATGTTTGTCACAAGCCTCACAAACAGAATATATTGTTAAACGTTTGGAGTTTTGCCAGTTTGATAGGTGAGAAACGGTATTTCATTTTTCTTTTAACGAACAAGGTTGTACATCTCTAAGGGTCACTTGCATTTTGTTCTATAAAGTGTCTATTCATGTGTGCTGCCCATTTTCTATTGAAAGGAGTTTTCCTCTCACAGGTAGCATTATCTCATGGATTTCAAGTTGGACTATTTGGTTGGGGCTTCATTTTTACTTCTGTGATCATTTTAATTTGAAATTTGGGTTAGGGTAAGTTTCTTTTTTTTTTTTTTTTTGAGATGGAGTCTCGCTCCATCTCCAAGGCTGGAGCACAGTGGTGTGATCTCGGCTCACTGCAAGCTCTGCCTCCTGGGTTCACACCATTCTCCTGCCTCAGCCTCACGAGTGGCTGGGACTACAGGCGCCCACCACCACACCTGGCTAATTTTTTTGTATTTTTAGTAGAGAAGGGGTTTCACTGTGTTAGCCAGTATGGTCTCGATCTCCTGACCTCGTGATCTGCCTGCCTCAGCCTCCCAAAGTGCTAGGATTACAGGTGTGAGCCACCGCGCCCGCCTGGGTTAGTGTAATTTTCTTAAGCCACCACTTGTTCATCATTTCACATGTGTTAGATGTGAACTTAAGCTCATGTGTTTTCAGTAATAGTGTTGTGAAGATCAAGTTCATTTTTAAAACACTTGAGAGTTTTTTGACCTTCGCTAGTGGGATGGGTAGGAAAACAAAAAGAGAAACCTTCAGCACTAATATTATACCCTCAGAATCTACTTTTGTTCATTTGGAAACAAAGTAGTATAAAACAAGCAGGAAGATTAAAATACAACTATAAACATCAGTGAATTAAAAAAGAATTCCAAATCTTAAAAGACTGAATGTTCAGAGGTTATTTTACAGACATTAGTTGAGAAAAAAATTTGTCTTATAGATTATATCTTCAAAATAACAATAAGCCAGAGATATATTCAGAGAGACTAAGAGGTCAGGGTTCGTTGATACATGTTTTCTGTGGAACTTCTGCAGATTTTCATTTAACTAATGTGAAACTGGTATTTTTCAGGAAAAGGACCAGGGAAAAGGAGAGGTCCAACAATCAAGATATCCGGAGTTCAGGTTAATGTGAAATCCATTATCCAACATGAAGAGGAGTTTGAGATGCTGCATAAATCTATCCCTGTGGACCCTGAAGAAAAAAAAAAGTGAGTATATTTTGTGTACATGCTTAGATGGTCGTACCGTAAGAAAATAGATTTGAAGTTAGACTTTGTGTAGTTCCATAGTATTTTTACTGTCTCTTCTTTAACATACCAAAAAGGCCCCTCTTCTAATGTCTTCCTGTTTTTAAACTTTCTTTAGATACTGCTTAACCTGTCGTGTCAAAGCTGCACATTTTGATGTAGAGTGGGGGGTGGAAGATGATTCTCGCCTGTTGCTGGGGATTTATGAACATGGCTATGGAAACTGGGAGTTAATTAAAACAGACCCAGAGCTTAAATTAACTGACAAAGTAAGTAACCCTACCATGCTAGAGATTTCTAGAAGATTTGTTGTGTAATATTTTTATATCGATTACTTATTTCTAACTATTTTCGAGGGGGCATCAAATTAGAAATTAGTATAGTCATTCTTGGAAATACTTCCATCTTTAGCAGATTGTGGCACTGTTTCACGGATGAAGATAAAGGGAAAAGACAGTAGCCAGGTGAAATTTTGGGGAAACTGTAGGAGAAATCTTAAAATTCTGGTATTTAATTATAGGTCAGATTTCATTACAATAAATACCCAGGTGAGTTTGTTAATGATAAAAGCATTCCTTGGCCTTAGTTATTGGCCCTTTGTTTAAAAGTACATTTGAAACAACCATATTTCACTTCCTCACGTAAAGATTGAATGTCACCTTGGTATTCTTTGTAATGGAATTAAACATTGGCTGTTCTTCTCCCACAAAATCGAGCCTCCCACCCTATCTGTTGCAAGTAGCAAGGCCATGGTTGGAGCTATAAGCAGGGAAGGCTGACTGGCTCAAATTTTGGTAGGATTTGCTCCATGTTGTGCTCCTGGCAGTTCAACAGTGCTCATCCCATCTGGTTTTAGGAGGGTGACAGCACCCTGCCTTAAGCACTGAGACCAGATTCAGTCTGGCAAGAGACCCAGTTGTTGTAGCAAGGAACAGATCATGTCCTGGCGTAGCTCAGTGCTCTCCGGCAATGCTCTAAGAAGCATTTTCAATCTAAAACGAAGCTTTAACCTAGCTCCAGGGATTCCCTGCTCCTGGAAGGAGGAAATCCACGACGGCTGGGATGCTCTAGCAGATGAAGCCACAAGCCCCTCCTACCTGAGTTGTTCTACCCTGTTAACAGCACAGGTAGGAGCCATTGGGAGAGCTGGATTTCTCCATCCCATTTTGTAAAATGAGAACGGCTCGTGAGGGATTTTCAGTGACTGGGAGCCATGGACATGAGATAGGATCTGAGGCTTTATCTATATTTTGGGTGGTTGGGGAGGGAAAGGACTGTGCTCAGTTTTTGTTGTCTCTGTTTATCCTGATCCACTAACCAGGATGTGGGTGGTGGCGGGTGCTTCTCTTCCTTTCTTGTTGAAGATTCTGCCGGTGGAGACAGATAAAAAGCCTCAGGGGAAGCAGCTACAGACCCGAGCGGATTACTTGTTGAAGCTGCTCAGAAAGGGTCTGGAGAAGAAGGGGGCTGTGACAGGTGGGGAAGAGGTGAGTACGCTGCCAGCTGGTTGTTTTTCAGGGGCCTGAGGCTCCTACCCTGCAGAATTAGGTAGGAAGAGAGAGGCCCTCTCTGAGCACTGCACAGAATGTCACCTTCTCATGGGCATATTTTGTTTTTGAGGTTCCAGTAATGATGCTTTGCTTGGTAATAATAGAAATGTTCATTTAGGCCTGGCGCAGTGGCTCATGCCTGTAATCCCAGCACTTTGGGAGGCTGAGGCGGGCGGATCACAAGGTCAGGAGATTGAGACCATCCTGGCTAATATGGTGAAACCCCGTCTCTACTAAAAATACAAAAAAATTAGCCGGGCGTGGTGGCACACGCCTGTAATCCCAGCTACTTAGGAGGCTGAGGCAGGAGAATGGTGTGAACCCGGGAGGCGGAGCTTGCAGTGAGCCGAGTTCGGGCCACTGCACTCCGGCCTGGGCAACAGAGCGAGACTCCGTCTCAAAAAAAAAAAAAAAAAAAAAAAAAAAAAAAAAATTCATTTAAGACCACGGCATCTTGGCAGCTTTCTTACAAACCCATCCTTCTGAAATGTTGCTTCAAATTCATCCTCTGCTCCCCAGTCCCACTATTCCACACATACTGTTACTGTTTCTTTATCCTACTTTCTCAATTTTGGAACATAGTTGCAGTTACTGCATTGAATACCTGTGGGTTTGCCTGTTGTTCTGTCTGTCTCTGTGGTTCTTGTAATAGTGGATCCCAGAGATAAAATGGACAGTTGTAATGCACAGTTAATTCAGAAACTAGACCTTACTTGCTGTGTGAAATACCAACTAAATTCTCAGTGAACTCAGCTGAGCTTTATCTCCTTTTGTTTCCCCAATTTATAATTTCAGTTCAGGCCCAGAAAGATGGAATCCCAGCTAAGAAATACAAGTTACACCCTGTACTAGCAGCCCATGTGTGCATGTTCTTTAAGTGCTCTTGCAGCTATGTCATTTATATTGATTTCCCTGTATTATTATAAGCAAAGCAAATTTGAGGAAAAAAACCCATAATACCACACCTCATTTTTTTCAAGTAATAGGGTCATAAGTCTCATTCTTCATATAATATGTTGAGTATGCAATATATTATGTGTTAGGCTCTGGAAAGGCAGAGGTTAGATCATGTTACAGATCATATCTGATTAGGCAGATAAACAGTATTTTAACCTTTTCCTTATTATATGTAACTTGCTTTCAGGTTTTTTAATGTTACTATTATGTCTTTAATATATTATCTTTATTTGTACTTTTGTATACAGAGTGATTTTCCTTTTTTAAAAAAAATTGTGTCTTTAGGATGGATTCCAAAGATGTGGAATCAGTAGGTTTAAGGAATATGGATATTTTGGCTGGCAAGGTGGCTCACACCTGTAATCCCAGCACTTTGGGAGGCTGAGGTGGGTGGATCACCTGAAGTCAGGAGTTCGAGACCAGCCTGACCAACATGGCGAAACCCTGTTTCTACTAAAGACACACAAAAAATTAGCCAGTGGTGGTGGCATGTGCTTGTAGTCCCACTTAGCTACTCGAGAGGCTGAGGCAGGAGAATCGCTTGAACCCGGGAGGCAGAGGTTGCAGTGAGGCAAGATGGCACCTCTACACTCCAGCCTGGGTGACAGTGCAAGACTCCATCTCGGAAAAAAAAACGAAAAAGGAATATGGACATTTTAATGTGGTATAGGCCATGTATAAGGCCTATAGGTTTTTATTTGTTTTGGTTTGGTCTTGTGAGGTAAAATGAGTTGCACTCTTTTGATTTCTTTGGAATTTTCTTGTTTGAATTATATGGCTGCTACTGCTTTAAAGAGTCATCATGTTGTTTGGTTATGCTTTTGAGTGTCTTGATTTGTATTTTAATCATCATTTTCTCTCCTTTTCCAGGCCAAATTAAAGAAGCGGAAGCCTCGGGTAAAGAAGGAAAACAAAGTGCCCAGGCTGAAAGAGGAGCATGGAATTGAGCTTTCATCTCCTAGGCATTCAGATAATCCATCAGAAGAGGGAGAAGTGAAAGTATGAAGTGGGGTTTCGGTTGAGGGTTATTTATTTATTTTAGCTATACTTATCATGCCAGCTGGAATAAAATCATCTGAAATGTGTTTGGTTTACGAGTGGATTAAATGGAAATAGAATATGTAAGTCTTCGCTTAATCTGTCAGCGAGGATAGTTTAAGTCAGCAACTGCAAATTTGTACATAATGGAAGTAAATGAAGGGGACTATGACATTTTTGTTGTTGTTGTTTGTTTGTTTGTTTTTGAGATGAAGTCTCGCTCTTGTCCGCGAGGCTGGAGTGCAATGGCACAATCCTGGCTCGCTGCAATCTCTGCCTCCCAGGTTCAAGCAATTCTCCTGCTTCAACCTCCCAAGTAGCTGGGATTACAGGCACCTGCCACCACGCCAGGCTCATTTTTGTATTGTAAGTAGAGATGGGGTTTCACCATGTTGGCCAGGCTGGTCTCAAAACTCCTGACCTCAGGTGATCTTCCTGCCTCGGCCTCCCAAAGTGCTGGGATTACAGGCGTGAGTCACCGCGCCCGTCCTAAAGTTTTAATGATAAATGGCGATTGACACGTAGCCTCATTCTTGCAAATGACGGGGAGTGGTCAGGACTGTGGTTAACCAGAGAGCTCATGCCTAATGTAAAGGGGGCAGCTGCTATGGAGTTCTGTTAACAAAACTCCTGTGGGTCAGGTTTGGCTTGCCAGTTTGTAACCTCTGGTCTAAGTAAAGTGAATAGTAAGTTGGTATCATTTAGTGTGCTATTTCAGTGACAACTTTATGGAATTTCTGAGAGTGTAATTGTACTTGGATATTAGCTCCAAGAGGATCAGCAGTGTGTACAGGAACTAGCATGGATTTGAGTCATACATACAGATATTTATTTATTTATTATGAGTTGCTTTTTGAGATGGAGTCTTGCTTTGTCACCCAGGGTAGAGTGCAGTGGCGCGATCTGGGCTCACAGCAGCTTCCACCTCCTGGGTTCAAGTGATTCTCCTGCCGCAGCCTCCCAAATAGCTAGGATTACAGGCACCTGCCACCACACCTGGCTAGTTTTTGTATTTTTAGAAGAGACAGGGTTTCACCATGTTGGCCAGGCTGGTGTCAAACTCCTGACCTCAGGTGACAGGTCTGCCTCAGCCTCCCAAAGTGCTGGAATTATGAGCATGAGCCACTGTGCCTGGCCAATACATACGTACATTTAAATACTAGCAACCTAATCAGTTATTAGCTGACTTTGTATAGGTATATAATCTCTTTGGTACTCAGTTTCCATCCGTGAAATGAGAATAATAAACTTACGTTGAAGGGTTGCTATGAGAATTAAATGAGAGGATATCAGTAAAGAGCTTCTGCCTCTACAGTTGTAACTGGTTATTACTGGAAAGTTTAGACTTCTCTGAGTCCCTTGAGGCTATTTGCTTGAAAACAAGCTTCTAAGTATAGACAGTGATGAACCACTGGGGGCAGTGCTTCTTTTTCCAGAAAGTACATAAGTAGATATAAAATTTGTAGCAAAAATTCATAGCCCTGTTTTGTTTCCTAGGATGATGGCTTGGAAAAAAGTCCAATGAAAAAAAAACAGAAGAAGAAAGAGAACAAGGAGAACAAGGAGAAACAAATGAGTTCTAGGAAAGACAAAGAAGGGGACAAGGAAAGAAAGAAGTCAAAAGATAAGAAAGAGAAGGTAATGATGCCCTTCTGTTCATGCAGATATCCACAGCCTTTGCAATTCGCCATTTGGATTTAGAAGTAGAATGAGATTTGAGGGCCCTGGAATAATTGTCTTTTTATGGGTATGTTCAAGAAGGATGGGTGGGGCCGTTGATGGGATACCTGCACCTGTCCTTGCAGAGAGAGGGGAACCTGCAAGTTTGGGGTGTTCTTTAAAAAAGAAGGCCTTTACTTGGTCTTTTATGACATATTTCAGGGGGAAATGTTTGAATGAGATAGGACAGGTGAGAGAAATCGGCATTTACATGTAAATACGAAATACGTTCTCAGATTCATATTAGAGGAGCACAATCCACAACTGAATTTGAATACTTGAAGAGTTTGAGTCAAAAACAAATATTAGCAAGAGTTATTGGAATATAAATGGATGAAAAGCCTTGCTATTATAACCTTTACATTAGGGGTTTTATGAAGTTCATTCTAAACCAAAGAATTTGGTACAGTGTTGCAGTGTATACTTGCTGACCTCTGAACACAGTAAAATCATTGCCAAAACACAAACAACTGCTGTAATTCTAATATCCAGTTGATAACTCTAATAGATTTCTTGATAAGTGCCTTTGAAACTTTTACTTTGAAATTTTATATTAAATATAAAATAAACTTCTATTTAAGAACAAATATAAAAATCAGATTAGGCTGTTTGGGTAGTTTTTCCTCCTCACTTAGCAGTATATCACAACTTTCCAAGTGATTAAATGTTAAAGTCATTTTTACAGCCTTGGCAACGTAGGGAGACCTCGTCTCTACAAAATAAAAACAAGCAAAAATCTAGCTGGGCATTGCGGCATGTGCCTACGGGCCCAGTTGCATGGGAGGCAGAGGTGAGAGGATTGCTTAGGCCCAGGAGCTCGAGGCTGCAGTGAGCCATGGTTGTGTCACACTTCACTCCAGCTTGGGCAACAGAGGAAGACCTTGTCTCAAAAAAAAAAAAAAAAAAATCATTTTTAATAGTTGGGGAGGATTCTGTTTGGGTGTAACATGTTAGAAGCAATTTGAATTTCCCATTTTGAAATACTTTCTAATTTTTGATGTTAATAGACCATACTGTGATAAATAACCTGTGCATTTGTGCTCCCACAGAAAGACATTATTTTTCTTAAAGTAAAATATTAAAAAAATAAAAAAAGAGCAATTTTAGCAAACATCTGTTTATCCACTCTCCAGATACCACAACTGTTGTTAATATTTTTTCATGTTTACTTTAAGTGGCTTTTTTTTTTTTTTTGGCGGGGCCAGGCGGGGGGAGACGCTGATATCTTTTGTATTTCATGAACATATGACTGATACTGTTGAAGCTGCCCCCTGTTCCCTTTCCCTGATTTTATTACTCTTCCTCTGTTTTCCCCATAACCACTACTGTGAAGTGGGTCCGAAACCTTCCTGTTCATGTTTTTATATTTGTAGTACATATTATAGTGTATATCCATATAACTATAAACAAAGCATACTGTATGCTTAAAAATGTACATGAAGTCAAGCTAGGCGCAGTGGCTCACACTTGTAATCCCAGCACTTTGGGAGGCCGAGGTGGACAGATCACAAGGTCAGGAGTTTGAGACCTGCCTGGACAACATGGTGAAACCCCGTCTGTACTAAAAATACAAAAAATAGCTGGGTGTGGTGGCGTGCGCCTGTAATCTGAGCTACTTGGGAGGCTGAGGCAGAAGAATCTCTTGAACCCAGGAGGCAGAGGTTGCAGTGAGCCGAGATCATGACGCTGCACTCCGGCCAGGATGACAGAGCGAGAATCTGTCTCAAAAAAAAAAAAAAAAAAAGTACCTGAAGTCATTTTATATATTCTTCTGCAACCTTTCCTTCAATGTAATTGAGATTTGTATAGAGTTCATTTACAATAATGTAGTTAATACAGATTCCTAAACCAAAGGGTATGCTGTTAATAAAGGTTGCTACATGATACTCTAGAGAGTTCTGCCAATTTACAAGCTTAACCTCTTGATGACATTTCTGTGCATTTTATGGATAAAGGAGTAAGAAGCCCAAAAATAGCACTGATGAAATTGAAGTTATAATTGGGTACATTTAGAGATGGAAATGGGAATAATGTGTGAGTAAGCTGCTAATCAGACAGGTTTGTCTTCATGATGTTTCAGGATTTTATTTTACTTTTTAAAAAATAAACTGAGACCATCATATTTACCCATTTTAATAACACAACATAGGTAAGAAACCTAAATCGCACGGTAGGATTGCACAAATGACAATGACTCCTTGTAACTCTTTTTTAAAAGCCTAAAAGTGGTGATGCCAAATCTTCGAGTAAATCAAAGCGATCTCAGGGTCCTGTCCATATTACAGCAGGAAGTGAACCTGTCCCCATTGGAGAGGATGAGGATGATGATCTGGACCAGGAGACATTCAGCATAGTAAGTCTTGAAATCGGGGGGTGCCAGTGTCTGCAGCCGCGGTACTTGCTGTGGCTCTGCCTTTTATAGGTCCAGCCAGAGCTTCAGTTGAGCTAAGCAATAGTACATTACTTGGGAAACACATTGCTTACAGTATCGGAAGACCATGTGCTCTTCAGCAGGCTGGCAGGAAGAGATTTTCTTGTCTTTTATTGAGGGGAAGTTTAAGGAGTGGATTTCATGTCTTGTGCTCCTAGTTAAGAGAGGCTCTCAGGGCCCTTAGAGGCATTTGGGAAAGAGAAGTGTTCACTGAGCAAGTATTTATTGAATGTTTTCTGTGTTCCAGCCCCCAGAGTTACCATGTTGAATAGATAACCATTTCTATCATCGTAAACTGTACATTGGAGTAGGGGAGTTAGATAACTACACAAATCATGTTGGTGCCCCTGTGACAGGGCTCTGGAGGAGAGAGAGTGCATACTGTGGAGATCCTGTGAGAAGGGAATTTGACCTAGTCAGGGGTTGCCAGGAGGGCTTGTGTAAGGAAGTGATGTTTGAGTTGGGTTCTGAAGGAAGAATAAAAGGTAACAGGAGAAGAGGGGAGGGCAAGGCGATGGGGAGCGAGTGCATGGACCAGGTCTTGCACGGGATTGGATACAGGCCAGTGTGTCCTCAAGGTCCCTTTGCCCCTGGCTGGAGCTGCAGGTATAGATTTCACTGTGCCACCATCCCTTCCCCACCTCTCTGTGGTCTCTTCTCCCCATACTTCCACAAATCCATTAATCAAACGGCTCATTCAGGCTGAAAGAAAAAGCGGTTTTCTTTCAAATTTGAAAATACTTCCATCCTGTGGCAGCAAAGGACCCTGTTGACCCTGTCCTGTAACCTCTCTCTGACTTCTTTCTCTGAGTTCTCTAAAACCTATACACGTATGTATATAGATATTGTTTTCTTTGCACTTAACTCTGTTTTCTTAAGTCTCTTTTTTGCCTGTGAGCTCTCTGAGGACAAGTATTGTTTTATATAAAGGTCATTTAGATGCTAGAAGTATATCAATAAATGAGTAAATTGAATAAATGAATAAACTAATTACATAGCCAGCTAACCAATCTGTTTCCTAGTCTTTCTTTTCCGAGTGTTTATAAGAGAAAATGATATCTAATGTTCTATGGTACCATGATATTTAAAAAATGCTCTTACAAATGACTCATTTAATCTTGTTTTTATATTATGAAATCTTTAAAAGATGCAGAGAAATTTCAGGGATATAATAGTCATTGATAAATATACCATGAAGTTTTGTCAAATCTGAATTTTTTTAAGACTCAAAATATAAAGCTGAATCCCTTGGTGTTCCTCCCTCTCAACCTATGCTTTTTCTGTCTCTCTCTCTCTTTTTTTTTTTTTTTTTTTTGAGGCAGAGTCTTGCTCTGTTGCCCAGGCTGGATTGCAGTGGCTCAATCTCGGCTCAGTGCAGCCTCTGCCTCTCCGGTTCAAGCAGTTCTCCTGCCTCAGCCTCCTGAGTAGCTGGGATTACAGATGCGCACCACCACACCCGGCTAACTTTTGTATTTTTAGTAGATATGAGGTTTCACCATGTTGGTCAGGCTGGTCTAGAACTCCTGACCTCATGATCTGCCCACCTCAGCCTCCTAAAATGCTGGGATTACAGGCGTGAGCCACCGCACCCGGCCTTTTCTCTCTCTCTTACCTCCCAGACGTAACCATGATTCTGAATTCGATGTTTATACTTAACGTGTGGTTCTAGAGTTTTACTGCTTAAGTCTGTAAAGATGATAATAGCTCACATTAATAGCCAGTTACTGTTTATGTGCTTTATATATATTTTTTCCACAACACTCCTGTGAGGTACGTTAGTGTTTCCATTTTACATATTTAAAAATAAGGTGAAGAGAGTTAAGTGATTTGCCCTGTGTCACACAGCTAAGACATAGAACACAGTTTTGACCCAGGCAGTTCGGCATGAGAGGTTGGGTCCATAACCATTGTCCTACGTAGCCTCCCACATATAAACAACATAGAGGATTGATTTCCATGTCTTAAAACTGTAATTGGCACTTGTGTATCCTGTAACTTGCTTTTCCTCTCACAGCAGTCACATTTGTTGAGATTTATCTATATTAATAATTGTGGCTGTCATTTAAGTTTCATGTTATTCTACAATTTATTCTTCCACAGTTTAATTTTTTCCCGTATTGGTGGACATCAGGATTTTTCCAAATGTTTGCTACTACAAATAGGCTACAGTGAAATTGTTGCCCATATTTTCTTGCACTACACAAGTGAGAACTTCTCTAGGGTGTATGGCTTGAGCAAAAATGGTGGGTCATTCATTAGGTGTACACATCTGCCACTTTATTAGATACTCGAGTTCCTCTTGAAAGCAGTTGTAGAGATTGCATGAATTATAGCAATGAATTCAAGTTCTGATTGCTGACCAGCCTTAGAAACAGTTGTTAATTTCTGACTCAGTTAACAGTTGTTAATTTTTGCTAATCTGAGGACTATGAAATACTGACTGAAGGTCGTTGGACATTTATTTTCATATTTTAGTGGTCATTCATGTTCCTTGTGAATTGCCTATTCAGTTATTCAAAATTGACATATTTGGAATAATTTATCTTTCTTACCTTTTCTGTAGGAATTCTTTTTACATTCTTAATACTAATCTTTTATTTTTTATAGTCATTACAGGTGTCTTTTAGTTTTTGGTATATTTTTTATTTTATGTCCTTTTTAAAAATTGAAGTATAACACAGAAAAATCCACAAATAATAAGTATGTAGCTGTGGAAATGACCACAAAGTGATGGGGAATTTGTAGAGTTTTCATTATTTGAAAATTTCATGACCATGTGTCTTACTTAGTTCATTGTGCCAGATACTCAGTGGCTGACAACCATGTCCCTACACCATTCTGTGAAATTTTCTTGAATTATATGGTGGTAATTTTCTCTAAGTTCCCAGTTTTACCTTTATGGAATTTCTTGTGTTTGGATATCGAATTCTGGATATTGGTCCCTAATTTTACTTTTTAAGTTGTTCATTTCTGCTTTTTACTCTACTTTCTGGGAGATTGCTTCAACTTTGTTTCACATTATTTCTTTCCAAGATCTTTTTCCTCCACCGCTCTCGAATATCTTTATACTTCTCTTTGCTTTCCATTGTTCACGTTACACACTTTGCTTCGGTGGCTTTGCTGACCCTCAGTTGTCAGCTCATGTTTAAGAGTGGAGGACGAAACATGTGATTGGAAGTTTGAGCATGTGGGTGGTGGGGCTTGATCTCCTTTGAAAGTTTTCATTATAGGATGATGTAGCAGAAACTTCTGACAGATAGTCAGGATCATTTGGTGTTTCCTCTGGGGCGGTCACATTTTGTGAAGAATGCCCCAGTTTCCTGACTCTCCAGAGCGTGAAGGCCTGGCTCCATCCACTCTGGAATGTGAGAGGCAGAGACCTGGGTGTGGGTCATCCTGTGTGACTGTGCTCATGTGCTCAGGTAATCCTGTTTTCAGTGTGGTGGGCTCAGCCCTCATCTGTGCCTGTGCAGTCCCGCTCAGAGGTCCTTTTATCCTTTTCTGGAGAATAAGTCTTTATATTTGCTGCTGGTTGGAGTTAGAGATCTGGGTATCTTATGAATCTGGATATGTGTTACTTCTTAAGCAGTTTTTAAACCGCTCCCCATTTTAGCCCTCATCCTTCCTTCTGAAGACACCTCGCCGTTGGGGGAATTTTGCCGTGTAAGTCAGGTTAGTTCTAGGCTGTCTTCCCTCCTGGCTTCGAATTTCATTTTCTCAGGTCTGTTTTGTCATTTCCCGTGCTGCCAATATTTTGTTGCCATTATCCTCTCTCTTGTTTTCTCTTGTCTTTGTGGGCTTGTCTCTTTTAAGGACAGTCCCTTTACCATTGTTTTAGTGGGATTGGGGAGGCAGAGAAAAGATGCTTGTGTTCTGTTTACCATCTTATCTGGAAGCCTTTCTCTTGCTTTCTTTCAAGCCTGAAGGATTTGCAAATATTATATCCCGTATTTTTAGACAGTTTCTGGTGGGAGAATTTCAGATTAGGTCTGTAATACTGCTGCTCATTAGATCTTCAAAATGGGCTTGTGAGGCATGCCATGCCTCTCTTGCAGATGAGGAAGCAGTATTTAGAGAGGTTAAGTAAGGCGTGAAGGGTTATCACATAACTCTAAGCGATGGTGCTGGCACTGCACTTCAGGGTTTTCTGACTTGAATACTTACACTTACTCCACTGCACTAGCTTTACCCACTCTTCCTCTAGCAATTATATGGCATAGGGGTGGGCTGTGTTTTCATCGAGAGCACAGTAAGCAAAGGACAAGACTTACTTTCTGCAGATTGTTTATGTCTTTACTCTGTTGTCCTGTTGCAGTGTAAGGAGAGGATGAGGCCCGTGAAAAAGGCACTGAAACAGCTCGACAAACCTGACAAGGGGCTCAACGTGCAAGAACAGCTGGAACACACCCGGAACTGCCTGCTGAAAATCGGAGACCGGATAGCCGAGTGCCTTAAAGCCTACTCAGATCAGGAGCACATCAAACTCTGGAGGAGGTAACCACTTTGGCCTCGTCTGCCCAGTTTGATTTGACTGAGTGTGGGAGTGGATTCTGTTTTCTTTTAATAAAAGGTGGCATAGCCACCTAAGAAATCTTTCTCCCAGCACAACTCATCTATTGGCAATATACCTGCAGGCTTTAACTCCCTTTCCATGAAATAGGCCATTCCACTGAGACCAGCCTTTTGAAGGGGTAGGACGATGTCATTAATTTATTTTATGAGAGAAAGATAGTGTTACTGGATTTGCTGGTCTATTCTCAGAAATAAATTTTCTTTAAGCCTACAAGGGGCAAAAATCATCTGGTCTTAACTACTTTACCCATCTCAGGTTGATATCCAGATATTCAGATATTACTGTATCTAATACAACTAATTGGTTGGTTCTGTACCAACACATGGTGACACAAAGATTAAAACCGCAAGAACTATGAGTTCTCTATTCTCATATGCTTTTTTAGTAATTAAAGTAGTAATTTGGATTAAGTTAATCTAGAACTTCAGTGTTTAAGGCATCATGGTTTATAAATGTTCCTTTATATAGCCACTGAAACTTTTTTAAAAGATTTCAATAGTTTTAGGGAAACAGGTGGTGTTTGGTGACATGGATAAGCTCTTTAGTGGTGATTTCCGAGATTTTGGTGCACCCATCACCCGAGCAGTGCACACTGCACCCAGTGTGTCATCTTCTATCCCTCAGCCCCCTTCCCCCCAGAGTCCGTTATATCATTTTTATGCCTTTGCATCCAATGTTTGGTTTTCCATTCCTGAGTTATTTCACTTAGAATAATGGTCTCCAATTCCATTGAGGTTGCTGCAAATGCCATTATTTTATTCCTTTTTATGGCTGAGTAGTATTCCATGGTATGTATGTACCACATTTTCTTTATATACTTGTTGGTTGATGGGCATTTAGGCTGGTTCCATGTTTTTGCAATTGCAGATTATGCTGCTATAAACATGTAAGTGCAAGTGCCTTTTTCATATAATGACTTCTTTTCCCCTGGGTGGATACCCAGTAGTGGGATTGCTGGATATATATCCACTGTCCACTTTGGATATTTTAAGAAAACATGACTGGAAATTTTTTTTTTTTTTTTTTTTTAAATGAGACAGAGTCTGACTCTTTCACTCTATCGCCCAGGCTGAAGTGCAGTGGCACAATCTTGGCACTGCAACCTCCACCTCCCTGGTTCAAGAGATTCTCCTGCTTCAGCCTCCTAAGTAGCTGGGATTACAGGTGCCTGCCATCACGCCTGGCTAATTTTTGTATTTTTAGTAGAGATGGGGTTTCATCATGTTGACCAGGCTGGTCTCGAGCTCCTGACCTTAGGTGATCCGCCCGCCTTGACCTCCCGAAATGCTGGGATTACAGGCATGAGCCACTGCGCCCAGCCATGGCTGGAAATTCTAAAAGGCAATTGTAACATTAAATCTCTTTCCATTAATCACAGTTACTTCGTTTTTATTTTATTTTAGACTCAGAGGGTACATGTGCTTGTTTGTACATAACCACAGTTACTTTGAACTTGTATATAGTTCATGGATAATGTGATTATCTTTGTATAATATGTCCAATCTCAGAGGACTGGTTTTTGAGTGAAAAGTGGATTTAAGAAAACTTCTGCATGATGGTGTCCACAGCATGCTTCACACCTATAAAGAAAAGATTTAATTTTCAAAATGGTACTTTTTTTTCCGCTTAACACTGTTACCAACTTCTTTCTTTACCTAGCGGCATCTGGCCTTTTTTTTTTTTCTTCTTTTTAAATTTAACACTGATTAGAAGATAGCAAAAGGTCATCCCAGTGAACAGACCCATTTTTAAATGTGCCAGGCACTGTGATCTTGGCTAGCAGTAGTTTATAAGGTCCTCGCCCTTTACAAGTCAAAAAAGTAGTACAAGGTAAGCCCTCGGAGAAACTGTTCGTCATGAGGCAGCAAATGCAAGCCCAGATAGAGTGGAAGTGTTGAGAAGGAAGTGCGTGAAGAGTAGTCAGGAAGGAAGGTCTTCTGAGAGGCAGGCAGGTGCACTTGAACTGAGCATACATGAGCTGAGTCGAATTGCTGAGATGAACAGAGTTCTCAGGCTTCAGCAAAGGCTTGAAAGTGGGACAGGGAGGGGACTGGGTGGTGTTCAGGATTTAAAGACAGTTTGCTAAAAAGACTGAAGCTCTTTATAGGAGGCTTTAGACAGGAAGGTAAATGGCTCTTCACCTGATGCAGCAGGCTTACTAGTTAGGGAGCCTGTACAGGTGGTCCTGTCAGCAGCAAGCCATGGTGAAACTACCTGTTAGGAAGTTTGAGAAGATATGAGACTCCTTTATCTGGCTCACTCTGACTACCTGTGCTTACTCTTTCTAAACACCTGTCTCATCATATCATTCCCCTGTTGCGCAGTAACACCATGCTAGGGTGAACATAATGGAATTGGAGGGAAAAAGCCACTGAGAGTTTTAAGGAAGAAATGAAAGGTTGTGGTGGCGACAACTGGGAGGAAGGAGGGGCAGCAACACAGAGATGACCAACTGAATGGAGGCCACAACCTGGGAGATGGTGGTGCTGATGGATTTGTGGTAGAGTCCAGAAAGTGAAGGAAAACTTAAAAGGACTGGAGTCTGGGGTGTCATTGATAGAAATTTGGAGGAGTTCTAGGTATTGATAGAGCCTTAGTCTCTAAATCCCTCTGTCAGACTCTTTTGGCAGAACCATGTAAAGGTGTACGGTAAGTCCTCACATAACGTTGTTTCCTTCAGCTTTGTTTCATTATAACATTGATGAGAAAAAAAATTGATTTTGTTTCCCTTAAAGTTGCAATTTCCAAGAACCTATCGACAACATTAAGTTAGGACTTACTGTATTATTAATGCAAATACCTGAAATAATATTTCTGTAGCTTAATTTCTATGCTTAGGGAGTATACCACAGCAAAATTTAATAGCTTGCCATCCATGAAGATCATAAAAAATTGCTTTTCTAATTCTATAATTCACCAGAACTGTTCATTTTTCTTTTTAGGAACCTATGGATTTTTGTTTCCAAGTTTACAGAATTTGATGCTCGAAAACTGCATAAGTTATACAAGATGGCTCATAAGAAAAGGTCTCAAGAAGAAGAGGTAAAGTACAAATTCAGTCCTAATTCATACAAACAAATACCAATTCCACAGAAAAATCTCTTAATTTTTGTTTTTCCATGGGGAGATGATCACAGAATCATGGGTTATTGCTGGTGCTAATAGTCAAACAATAAGACCAGATGGGTGAAATAGCCAATGTATTGGAGCCTAACATGGTTGAAATTCTGACAAAGAGTGTTTACCCTGTGTTTTTAGGTCCTAAAATCATTTGTTCACCAGGTTTTTTCTTCCATTTGCATTTTTCTTCTGTACATGTCAGTAGCTTATAAATGTGGCTCCTAGGAAGTAATAGGGTGGTGGGCAGAAAATACTTTTTCTCTTCTTTTCTGGACCATCTATTTGGTGTCCTTCCAGCTTTTGTATGGAAGGGGTCCTGCTACTCACTTGTGAGAGGTGCTCAGAAGTTGCCTCTCCTTTGGAATAGGGGGATGGGTGCAGAAGTGACATGGAGGAGGCTGCAGAGGCAGTGCTCCTTGTGTGGGTGTGCCCATTTGCAGATCTGCTGACTTGCCACATGGGCTGTACCCAAGTTGGACATTGAGTTCAATCTGTGAGCATTAAATACCACCTCCACTAATGCGTCAGCTCCATGAAGACAGAGATTTTATGTCTCTCATCTACTGCTGTGTTCTCAGCACATAGAATGGAATAGAATGGTGCTGGGGACAGGGAAGCACTCAGGAGTATTTGTTATGCTGTGCCCAGTGCTGTGTTGGCCTGTGAAGCAGCACCCTCAAGTAGTTGATGATTTAATTTTACATGGAAGAATATGTTATAGCAGTAACATACAGGAATCATATACTAATAAGCATTATAAAAAGTCTATAAATGGATAGTCCGGAAAGGCCCCAGGAGGGAATGAAATAGTTAGGAAAGGCCCTTTAGAAGGGAGTGAAAATTAGGAAGAGGGTCTGAAGTTGGACACATAATCATGAAAGACTTCATTCATTTAGGGATCAGAATGAATAACAAAACAGTATAAGCTGAATAACAAAAACAGTGGTATCCTACTAGTGGGAGTATACATTGTCACAACCTTTCTGGAGGAGAATTCAGCAAGATTTATTAAAAGACTAAAGCATGCAGTTTTGCTTCCAGGAATTTAGTTTTGAGAAGGAGATAGAGATTTAAACATGTTTATAATGGAAATGGCTTGGAAGCCCAACAGTAAGAAATACATTCAATGTGGCTAGGCGCGGTGGCTCGTGCCTGTAATCCCAGCACTTTGGGAGGCTGAGGCGGGTGGATCACTTGAGGCCGAGAGTTCGAGACCAGCCTGGCCAACGTGATGAAGCCTCATCTCTACATAAACTACAAATATTAGCTGGGTGTGGTGGCACATGCCTGTAGCCCCAGCCCCTCAGGAGGCTGAAGTGGGAGGATCGCATGAGACCAGGAGGTGGAGGTAGCAGTGAGCTGAGATGGCATCACTGAATGCCTGCGACAGAGTGAGACTCTGTCTCAAAAAAAAAAAAAAAAAAAAAAAAAAAATACAGAAAACAAAAACATTCAGTAGTTCATGATATATCCATATTGGGGAGTATTAATCAGTTATTAAACATAATATTGTAGAAATAAGTATTTACATGGAAAGATTTTCACAATACATGAAGTGAAAAATGAATACCAAATATTTTTGTTTAAAATATAACTACAAAAAAAAGCTTAGAAAAATACGTGCCAAATTATTAACAGTAATTCCCTTGCTGGTTAGGATTTGGGTCACTTTATTTTTTTTATTGTGTGATTTTTTTTATATCAAACATTTGACTTGTGTGATAAGGAGTAATGTTACTCCAACATTCAGATATTTAGCTTGATGACTTGGGCATAGGAGTTAGTTCCCACTGGACAGTCGAGGGTTGTTTGTTGTGGTTAGCCTTGGAAAGTTGGTAGTCTTGGTTTTACATGGTCCAGGATGATCCTCTGAGAGTGCCGCCAGCCTGGGCGCCTACACCATACCCTGTACAGTGACATCTAGCAGTCTATGCATGTGTTCTTGCAGGTACTTAGCAGTAATGGTCAAACTCAGCATAAATTCCACTGAGTTCCCCCAGCAAATAGCCTAACAGTGGAATTTATGAGCCTTTTTTTTGTTAGGAGGTAGTAAACGCCAGTTCAGAAGTTTAAGAAGGACAAGAAGGAGCTGTTTAGAGGTGATAGCCTTTATTCTTCTCTGGGGAATTAAGCCTGGGATCTTGAGCTTCTTTGGTTTCCTTTTACTCTTTAGGAGCAAAAGAAGAAAGACGACGTGACTGGGGGTAAGAAACCATTTCGTCCAGAGGCCTCAGGCTCCAGCCGGGACTCTCTGATATCTCAGTCCCATACCTCACACAACCTTCACCCTCAGAAGCCTCATTTGCCTGCCTCCCATGGCCCACAGATGCATGGACACCCAAGAGATAACTACAATCACCCCAACAAGAGACACTTCAGTAATGCAGGTAGGTCATTAAGTGGAGTTTTTAAAAGAGGTGCCAAAAGATAAAAAATTCACACAGCCGTTTCATTTTCCAAAGACACTGGCTAGACTTCTGTGCTTTATTATCTTCTAACACTTTATTGTCCTCTCTTTTCTTAATGAGAGAAAGCATGAAATAAAGATCCCCCAATTTTTTTTTTTGTTTGTTTGAGACTGAGTCTTGCTCTGTCACCCAGGCTGGAGTGCAGTGGCACAATCTCGGCTCACTGCAACCTCCACCTCCTGGGTTCAGGCGATTCTCGTCCCTCAGCCTCCCGAGTAGCTGGGATTACAGATGTGCACCACCACGCTGAGCTAATTTTTAAATTTTTAGTAGAGACAGGGTTTTGCCATGTTGGCCAGGCTGGTCTCAAACTCCCGGCGCCATGTGATCTGCCCACCTCAGCCTCCCAAAATGTTGGGATTACAGGTGTGAACCACTGCGTCTGGCCCCCAGGACTATTATTTCAACTTCCGATTAAGAAGAACCCAGCTAACATGAACAAACGAAAAAGACTGAGGGAGAAGTTTACATTCTGTATGACAGTGAAATGGTTAAAACTGCTAATCTTGAAAGAGCTCTTGTAAATTGAGAACAAAACAATAACTGAATAGAAAAATGGGCAATCAACAGAGTGAAGAGACAGTTTATGTAAGGGGAGAAAATATTACCAACCGTACATCTGATAAGGGGATAATATCCAAACTGTGTAAGGAACTCAGCTCCTTATGTAGCAGGAAGGCAAATGCTCGATTAAAAAGTGGGTAAAGGACCTGAATAGACATTTCTCAAAAGAAGACATACAGATTGCCAACAGGTATATGAAAAAATGCTCAGCATGACTGATCATCAGGGAAATGCAAATTAAAAGCACGATGAGATATCACTTCACACTTGTTAGGATGGCTAGTACCAAAAAGTCAAAAGATAAGGGTTGCCAAGGATGTGGAGGAAAGGGAACCCAGCGCATTGTTGCTGGGAATGTAAGTTAGTGCAGCCATTATGGAAAACAATGCAGAGATGCCTCAAAAAAATCACAAACAGAACTACCATATGATGCAGCAGTCCCTTTACCAGGTATATATTCAACGAAAATGAAATCAGTTATGTTGAAGAAATGCCTGCACTTACATATTCATTGCAGCATTATTTACGATAGCCAAGATACGTAATCATCCTAAGTGCCCATCAGCAGGTGAGTGGATAAAGAAAATGTGTATATACACAATCGAATAGTATTCAGCTTTAAAAAGAAGGAAATCCTGTCGTTCGCAACAACATGGTTGAATCTGGAGGGCATTTATGTTAAGTGAAATAAGTGAGGCACAGAAAGAGAAAAACTGCATATTCTCACTTACGTATGGAATCTGAAAAAGTCAAACTCATAGAAGCAGGGAGTAGAACAGTAGTTACCAGGGTCGGAGGGCAGGGGAGAATTGGGAAGATATTAACAACGGAGATAAAATTTCAGTTAGATATGAGGAATAAGTTGAGAAATCTGTTGTACAGCATGGTGACTGTAGTTAATAACAATGTATTATATAAGTGAGGTAGTGCATATGTTAATTAGGCTGATTGAGCCATTCCATAATGTATATGTATTTTAAAACATTGCATTGTAATCAATAAATACATACAATTTTTAATTGTCTATTAAAAAATTTGTACAGTCTGGGCAACATAGACTCAGTCTCTACAAAAGTGTGAAAATTAGCTAGGCGTAGTGGCGTAGTAGTCCCAGCTACTTGGGAGGCTGAGGTGGGAGAATTTCTTAGGCCTGGGAGGTGGAGGTTGCGGTGAGCCAGGATTGCACCACTGCGCTCCAGTCTGGGCAATAGAGTGAGACCGTCTCAAAAAAAAAAAAAAATTGCAGTTTTGAAACAAAACTCAAAGGAATCCAGATTGAATTAAAATTTTGGAAATTTGATTAGAAAAAAACTCTGTGGAGCTTATCCATTGTTTTAAAACAAAATGAGCAAAAGTTATGAATTAGACAGTTCATGTAAAAGAGAAAATTCAAATGGCCAATATGACGAGATGACCAACCTTGCTACTAGGAAAATATAAATTAAAGCAACAATAGGTTAATCAATTTTTTTACCCATTCAGATCATCAAAAATTAAAAAGGGAAATACACACCGATTGCTAAGAGTGTGAATTGCTATAATCTTTGCAGAAAATAATCTGAAAACCCACTCTGCGGGTTGTCTGTTCCTCCAGCAGTGGTCCCTGCCTGGGAAAGACCCAGATCCTTAGCCTGTTGCAGGTGCTCAGGATCACTGATCTCTTCAGTGGTGACAGAAGTCATCTCTTAACTCTTTGAGGTTTTCTGCTCTGTGGAATCTTAGTCCTTCTAGTCCTCATTGCTTTAGCTGCTCTTTGATGCCTTTAAACACTTCTTTCTTTTTTTGGGAGATGGAGCCTCGCTCTGTCACCCAGGCTGGAGTGTAGCGGCGGCACGATCTTGGCTCACTGCAACCTCCACCTCCCGGGTTCAAGCGATTCTCCTGCCTCAACCTCCCAAGTAGCTGGGATTACAGGCACACACCACCATGCCGGGCTAATTTTTTTTTTTTTTTTTTTTTTTTTTTGTATTTTTGTACAGACAGGGTCTCACCATGTTGGCCAAGGTGGTCTTGAACTCCTGACCTCAGGTGATCCATTCGCCTCAGCCTCCCAAAGTGTTGGGATAACAGGCGTGAGCCACTGCGCCTGGCCTAAACGCATTCTTTTTAATCTTCCCTTTCTCATTGTTTTTGGCAGGATGTAATTCTGCTACAAGCTACCCTGCCTGGAAGCATTACGTTCTATGTTCTGTAATCTTAAAAATCTGAGTTCAAAATTATTTCATCACCATTTTGTTGAGGGAAAGAAAGCTAATGATTTTGCAGAATGATTGGGAAATGTTTCCCTGTTCTTAGATGTAGTTGCATCAGTTATACTGGCTTTTTTCTAGTATTAGGCTGTTTTTGTGTTTTGTATACGATGTCACTTATTTTATATTCTGAATCCTTTACAATAACTTCTTACTAAATACATTCTTTTATTTAAACCTTGGATTCCTCACCCATCTTTTTAATAGCTCAATACTTTGTAACCTGTGATTTACCTCACAGAGGGTTTAAGAAGAAAGAAAATCTCTTTGATTTACTCCAGAAAAAATGAACTAGCTTGAGTTTTAAGCACCTCTACAAAACCACAGACATTGACACCCTGTTAGAAATCTCACTTTCCATTTGATATGAAGCCATCCTCAAGTGATCCTTCGCATATTTAGAAGGTGTCTCTTTTTGTTGTTATTTGTTAATTCTTAGGGTGAATAGTCAAAAGTTTTTTACTTTGTGGTGCTCTCATCTGATCTACCCAGGTCAGCCATGAATTTAAGCCACTGGTGGACTGTACATCATATTAATGCTATCAGTTTCTGAGCTCAGCACTTCCTTAATGGTGTTGTTCTTCAGCTCTGTAGAAAAAAGCTGGAAGGCCAGTAAAATGAGTAGAGACACTTATTTGGTGGCATGTCTTTGATCTTCACATAATTATAGACAGAAGATGGATTTTTCCATGAGGTCATAGGTTCCTTTTGGTTAGTCCTCTGTATTAGTTTCCTAGGGCTGTATATAACAAAGTATCACAGACTAGGTGGCTTCAAACATCAAACATTTATTTTCTCACATTTCTGGAGACCAGGAAGTCTGATATCAAGGTGTCAGCAGGGTTGGTTCCTTCTGGAGGCTCCGAGGGAAAAGCTGTTCCATGCCTCTCTTCTGCCTTCTGGTGGCTGCCAGCAGTTCTTGGCGTTCTTGACTCACGCCGATTTCTGCCTCCATCTTTGCATAGCCTTCTCCTATGCATAGCCTGTCATAGCTCCCTCTGCCTTTATTTTGAAAGGATGCCTGTCCTGGAATTTGTAGCCCAACCTAAATTCAGGATGATGTCATCTAGAGATTTTTAACTTAATTACATCTGCAAAGACCTAGGTAAAATCACACTCACAGGCTCTGGGTGGACATGACATTTTGGTAGCCACAGTTTAACTCTCCATCCCTGGACTTCTGTGTCTTCACTACATTTTCTGATTCAAGTGAGTATGATTCTTTTCCTTAGGAGAAAAGGAAGGCTACAGAAGTTAAAAGGATTGTAGTTTGGCCTTAATCCGTAAGAG
This sequence comes from Homo sapiens, assembly GCF_000001405.40. NCBI lineage: Eukaryota > Metazoa > Chordata > Mammalia > Primates > Hominidae > Homo > Homo sapiens. The sequence continues at coordinate 93,019,094 of NC_000015.10, forward strand.
ACAGAGCACTGATCCAAGCTCAAAGTTAGAGAAATTACTTTTTTATAGGAGGAGGTCCATTTTTGTGTGTGTGTGCAGAATAGGGAAGAATAATAGAATCGGTGAGTGTAGTCTGGAGAGATTTTCAGAGACCAGGCACAGCAGGTACCAGCAGGTGAAATAAACGTTAGATGTGTAACCGGAGGATATTACTCGCAGCTGTGAAACTCAGCGGTATCATTTTCTGAATTAGTTTGGTTTTGTTGTTAAGAGTCTGCCACAGATTGGAAGGTTAAACAGGTATGGAGAGTGAAAAGCGGTAGTTGTTAAGATTTCAGAAGGAGAGGAGTAGTAAATTTTGCCTTAAAATTTTGTTGGAAAGAATGTTTAGGAGTCATTACTGATACGTTAGCCAGCAGCAACAAGACCAAGAAGAAAGAAATTTAATGTCTGTTTGTAACATGTGTCAGGCTTTCAGTTTGAACTTCAGCAAAGTAGTGCTTACTTCAGCAGCATACCTACAAGAATTGGAACAATACAGAGAAGATTGGTGTGGAAGAAAACAAAAATAAAAAATAAGGCTGGGCGTGGTGGCTCACAGCTGTAATCCCAGCACCTTGGGAAGCTGAGGCGGGCGGATCACCTGAGGTCAGGAGTTTGAGACCAGCCTAGCCAACATGGTGAAACCCTGTCTCTACTAAAAATTCAAAAATTGGGCAGGCATGGTGGCGGGTGCCTGTAGTCCCATCTACTTGGGAGGCTGAGGCACGAGAATCGCTTGACCCAAGAGATGGAGATTGCAGTGATCTAAGATCGTGCCACTGCACTCCAGCCTGGGCAAACAGAGCACGACTCCATCTCCAAAAAAAAAAAAATTGTAGTGAAAGTGAAATTCATCCATTTCTTGCAGTCATCAGATCATTCTTTCTTTTCCTGCAGATCGAGGAGACTGGCAGAGGGAAAGAAAGTTCAACTATGGTGGTGGCAACAACAATCCACCATGGGGAAGCGACAGGCACCATCAGTATGAGCAGCACTGGTACAAGGACCACCATTATGGGGACCGGCGACATATGGATGCCCACCGTTCCGGAAGCTATCGACCCAACAACATGTCCAGAAAGAGGCCTTATGACCAGTACAGCAGTGACCGAGACCACCGGGGACACAGAGATTATTATGACAGGTATGCAAAAGGCTGTGAGACACCAGGTGCCAACCTTTGCCAGGAGCTGTTTCTAGGGAGAAAGTGACGTATACATGAATGTATTTATCTATCAAATTACTGAAGATCTCATCATGCATGTGTCAGCCACAGCGAATCCCATGTCTTGGTTATAGGTTTTATGTTTTGTTTTGTGGGTCATAGGGAGCACATTTCACCTGTGCAGGAAAAGAGTTTTCTGCCGTCTTTTGAGGAAATCTAGTGAAGAGGTCGCCATAAAATATTAGAGTCAACAACCAAAATTATTAAGCTCTGTGCGAGGCTGTCAGCCACACTAGGTATCAGGGATCCCGAGATGGGTACCAGCCCACAGTCCTTACCTGCCACGAGCCCATAATTGAAGAGTCAAAGTCTTCTGAAGCTGCACCCTCTTTACTTCAGTACAATGCCACCAGTAGTACGATGAGCCGAAGCTTTACATTGTGAGAGTAGCAAGTCCAGGGAGAGCTAAAGAGGTTTTATCTGTATTTCCTAATTTCAAATCTTGGATAATTTAACCTCATAGCAGCTTTGGTTTTCCCTGGGCTGATGATGTGCGTCATTTGCACTGTACCTTGAATTTACAGTGGGAAAATTTCATATAAACGTGTCAAAGTCGTGCTTTGTTTTTGGAAGATCTGGTAACAGCAGCCCGCATTAGCAGAGAGCTGTAGCTGAGTAGCTGCCACCTCGTTGGGAGACTGCCCCTCGCTCCCACCCTTCTCTATTGTCTGGACCCAGTGGGCATCTTGCCCTGCGTTCTTCTAGTAGGTCTGTATTTCTATTTGATGTCACTTTCCTTTTGCCTGAAGGACTTTTTCTGCTGGTGATAAACTCTTTCAGTGTTTGTATATATGCCTGAAAAAGTATTTTGCCTTCATTTTTGAAAGTAGTTTTTGCTGAGTGTATACATTTTTGGCTTTACAGTTTCTTTCAGTGCTTTAAAGATGTACCTCTGCTATTTACTTGCATTGTTTTGTGATGAAAAATCTGTCATCCTTATCTTTGTTCCTCTTTACATAATGTTCCTTTTAAAAAAAATCACTGATTATGATGTGCCTTGGTGTATTTTTCCTTGGTTTCTTGTGCTTGGAAATTTTTGAACTTCTTGGATCTGTGGGTTTATTGTTTCCATAAAATTTGGAAATTTTTACAATCTTCTTCAAATATTTTTTCTGATCCCCCACTCTCTCTTCTTCTTTGGAGATTCTCATTACACCTATATTAGCTTGCTTGAAGTTGTCTCACAGCTCACTTGTATTCTGTTGACTTTTAAAAAATTATGCTTTCTGTTTCACTGTGGATAGTTTCTATTGCTACCTCTTCAAGTTCACTAATACTTTCCTTTTCAATGTCAAGACTGCTGTGAGGCCCATCCAGTGTACTTTGCATTTTATACATTGTAGTTCTAAAAGTTCGGAAAGTTGTTTTTGGGTCTTTTTATATATGTTCTGTGTCTAACCTTTTAAAACCTGGAACACAGATATAACAATGGTTTTGATGTCCTTGTCTGCGAATCTTATCACTTGGGTCAGTTTCAGTTGATACCTCCTCACTGTGGGTCTTGCTCCCCTGGTGCTTTCTGTGCCTAGTAATTTTTGTCAGATGCCAGATGTAACATTTACCTTGTTGGGTGCTGGATATTTCTGTATTCCTGTAAGTATTCTGGAGCTTTGTTATGAGTTGCAGGTTATTTGGAAGCAGTTTCCTTTTTCAGGTCTTGCTGTTAAGATTCGTTAGGTAGAACCAGAGCAGTGCTCAGTCAAGGGCTAATGATTGCCCACCCCCAAGGTAAAGAGCCTCATTGCACTCTACCCAATTGCGTTAGTCTGTTTTGCAGGAATACCTGAGGCTGGGTAATTTATAGAGAAAAGAGTTTTATTTGGCGCACAGTTCCGCAGGCTGTACAAGCATAGCACCAGCATCTGGTTGGCTTCTGGAGAGGCCTCAGGGAGCTTTTACTCATGGTGGAAGGTGAAGTGGCAGTAGGCGTCCCATGGCAAGAGAGGGAGCAAGAGAGAGAGGAGGAGGTGCCAGCCTCTTTTAAAGCACCAGCTCTCACGTGAACTCAGAGAACTCACTCATTATCACAAGGACAGCACCAAGCCATTTATGAGGGATCTGCCCAAACACCTCCCACTACAACATTGGAGGTCACATTTCAACATGAGATTTGGAGGGGACACATACCCAAACCGTATCACCATCTGGAGGTCTTTGGTGTGGCTGGTGAGAACAGGCACGATGCCAGTTCTTTGTGAGCACAGGGCACTGTTACCTTCAGTCTTTTCGGGTGGTCCTTTCCCTGGCCTTGGGTAGTTTCCCCACATGCACATCCTAAGCAGTATTCAGCTGTATACCTGGGAACCCTCTGTAGATCTTCAAACTTCTTTCTCTGCAGCACTGTCTTCTCTCATGCCATGCCCTGTGAACTCTGGCCACCTTGGTTCCCCATCCCTCACCTTGGGAAGCCAACTGGTGTCTTTCTGGGTTTCCTTCTTCCTGTGTCACAGCCTGAGGGACTATCTCATGATAGTGAACAGGAGCCGTTAAAAGGCTCATTTCATTAGTGTCCATTCCTCAGGGATCACTGTTCTTCATTGCCTGATGTCTGGTGTCTTGAAAACCACTGTTCTATGCATTTTGTCCCTTTTGGCTGTTTCAGGCAGGATGGTAAATCTAGTCCCTGTTATTCCATTTTGACTGGAACTTGAGATTGCTCACTTCTTCCTCCCTCTTTCTTTCATTGAGGTGAAATTCATATTACATAAAGGAACTATTTTAAAGCGAACAACTGAATGACCTTAGTGCATTTATAATATTGGGCAGCCACCACTTCTATCTAGTTCCAAAACACTTTCATCAGTCAGAGAAAACCCTATAACCATTAAATAATCCTTCCCCATTATTCCCTCTCCCCAGCCTCTGGCAGCCACCAGTTTGCATTCTGTCTCTCTGGATTTGCCTGTTCTAGACATTTCATATAGAAAGAGTCATACAATATGTGACCTTTTGTGTCTGGCTTCTTTCACTTAGCATAATGTTTTCAAGGTTCATTCATCAGTACTCATTCCATCCTTATGGCTGAATAATATTTCGTTGTGTGGATATATACCACATTTTGTTTATCCATTCATCTGTTGATGGACATTTGAGTTGTTTCCATCTTTGGGCTGTTGTGAATAATGCTGCAGTGAAGATTGGTGTACAGGTACTTGACTACCTGTTTTCAGTTTTGGATATGTGCCTGGGAGTGGAATTATTAGTCATATTCTTTACGTTTTTAGGAAACACCAAAATGTTTCTACGATGGCTGAACCATTTTACATTCCTACCAGCAATGTGTAAGAGTTGAAGGTTTTCCTTATCTTTGCCAACACTTATTTCCTGGGTTTTTTTTTTGTGTTTTTTTTTAATGAGTATCTCCATCTTCGTGGGTGTGAAGTAGTCTCATTGTGGCTTGAACATGCATTTCCCTAGTGATTAATGACATGGAGCATCTTCTCATGGTTTTTTTTGGCCATTTGTATAGCTTCTTTGGAGAAATGTCTGTTCAAATCCTTTGCCTGTTTTTGAGTTGGGTTGTTTTTGTTGTTGAGTTTTAGTAATTCTTTTTTTAATGGTATCATGAGCAGTTTACCATGGTCCAAGCTAAAAATTTTAATACTCTTCACACTGAGTTGGTTTTTAAGATAATTTTATTAACTAGTCACTCACTTGTTGCATATTTAGGTTGATGGTGTTATTAATAACTTACAAAATAATTTCTGTGGCTCTTTTTCTCATGGGCTGGGTCCAGGAATATGGTAATGTTTATGGATCTTACCAGATTTTTCCTAAAGGGAGTGAGTTTGCAAAAGCCATCAGTAATTTTTCAAGTGTGTACTTGTGTCACTGCACACTTGAGCCTTATTTCATAGGATGTATTTTGCTAATAAGTGTAAAATGACTCTGTTATTAATTTTTTTGATTCCTAATAATGTGAGCATTTGTCCTTGAATATGAGTATATGAGGAAGAGCCAAGTGGGTAGTGAAGAGAAGTGGATGGGAATCTGGCTTCAGTCTTTCGACTAATCCTTGCATCTCTATTTCAGGCACCATCATGACTCCAAGCGGAGGAGATCCGATGAATTTAGGCCTCAAAATTACCACCAGCAGGATTTCCGACGAATGTCTGATCACCGCCCCGCTATGGGCTACCATGGCCAGGGACCCTCAGACCATTACCGCTCTTTCCACACAGATAAACTGGGGGAATATAAACAGCCTCTACCCCCATTGCACCCTGCAGTCTCAGATCCTCGCTCACCCCCTTCTCAGAAATCTCCTCACGATTCCAAGTCACCCCTGGATCATAGGTCTCCTTTGGAGAGATCACTAGAACAGAAAAACAACCCAGATTATAACTGGAATGTTCGGAAAACATAAAGGACAGCTCGTAAAGGAGAGAGTAAGAGTCACCAAACACGTGGATATTTTTGGTCTGATCCTACAGTAGCCGGTTATCTAGACCAGTAAGTGGAGTTTTGGACATGCTGCTGCTGTCAACTCACTGGCTGAAGGAGCACTTCAAGGAATGGGAGGCCTTTCACTGGGTCCAGCTCTGATTCGGGTCACCACTCCTGCACTTTGGCACCCCATCCCATTCCAGCCTAGTTCTGGCCTCCCACTTTGACGGGCACTTGGAGGAGGAGCTGACTGTGTGTGTACCAGCTTCACTGGGATGTGTTTCCCCAGTCAAGGAACAGGGGATCTTCAGAGTCATGAATGTTTTCTTGCCAGGGTCAGTGTTCCCAGGACCTTAGTGCATGGTCGGGGCAGGAACTGGTGCATGGAGGCTGCTGGGACCTGGTGAACAGTGTGTGATTTGGTTGATTTGGTTCACTCTGACATGATGGATGCTGCTGATGGGGAGTGGCGAGTTGGGGCAAGCGGGTGGGGACAAGCATAGGACTTGAAGGGGAGCAGGTACACCCCTCAAATGTGTTCTTGGGAGAAGTGATACACTCGGCCTCATTATGTGAAACCTGTGGGTGGGGTTGGGGTGGAGAAGTAGAGAGAGGGCAACAGCTTCCACAACTGCTTCATCTCTGCCAACACTAATTTTTCCCACACTGTCTTTGTACATTTCAGAGCTTTGGTCTCCTGAGTGGGCCTCCTTTTCCCACTGTGCCAGGGAAGGTAGGTTTCTCTGGCTGACTGAGTACTGTGAGTGAGGCAACACTGATGCCAGCATGGGTCTTACTTGACTGGGGAGTAGGCTGAGTGAGGGGTAGGGTGGGGTAGGTGGGGAGTAGTGTGGCCAGGGAACTGGAATCCCTGGTGGATTTCTGATTCCTGTGGTGAGAAGGAAAGCTACAGGACCTGGAGAAGGGGATGCAGAGGCAGGCCTGCTGACCAACTTGTTGCAATCACAAAGGTGGGGGTCCTGGTGCAGGCAGTGAACAGGCTTCTAATGTGGGGTTCAGTAGTGCCAGCAAGTGGGGGAAACTTTCAGTATTGCGCTAGGTCAACACTTCCTGCTGCATTTCCTTCCCTTTGCACAGCTTGAAGAAATAGAGTAGACAGAATCACACATCATGTGGTGGGCAGATGGAAATAAGTACCTGTGGTGAACAAGTTTCTACTGTAGTTGGAGATCATTAGAATTGAATTCAGTTTCTCTTAGAATATAATCAGGTATAAACCTAAGTTAAACTTTTTCCCAAACAAGGAGCATCCAAAGACACAGTGACTTGAGCTATAGATAGTAAAAATCATACGAGAGTTGAACTGAGTCAGGTTTAGGAAGCAAGTTTGGTTGCATCAATTAAGCAGGCTCTTTTCAATTGACTGATGCTGGGGCCTTCAGTTTTATTCTCAGTATAGATTGCCAGTATTGTTAAGAGTATCCAAAGGCCTTTCTAGATGGAGACAGAATAACTGACTTGAACATACAGTGTGCCTGTAAGTGTCCAGGCTCAGAGCTGGTGAAAACCCTTCTGTTGGGCGTGTGCAGGGTTAAACTCCTGAAGTAACTTGTGAGGACTTCAGTGCTTGCTGGTGTCCTGGGCAGCACCATGAATGCCTTTACCAAGACATGCCAAGTTGGATCCCCCGAATGAAGCAGATGTGGCTGTGGTGTGACCCTTGCTCCCTGCTACACAGAGCATCGCAGGGCTGGCCTGTGTGGTTTCCAGATGAGGGTCTGGGTCCCGGAAGCTTGTGTTGAGAGCTCAGTGGACCCACCCCGCTTGCTGAACCCTCACAGTTCTTGGGGTTGTCCAGCCTGGACTTGTAGCACACATGTCCTGAAGCAAAGCTCCGGTGACTGCATGAGCCACCTGGCCACAGTCCTCCCATGGAGGGCCTGCCGTGACGCTCAGTGGAGAGGGCAGGGCCTGTGTCTCCACTTAGGCCACACAGTGATGAGGAAACCACAGATGGAGCTTCTTGCCGATAATACTGACTCTAGCCCATGATTGCCTTGCCCAAGCCAAAGAGGAAGGTTAGGTTGGCTTGTCGAGCCCTTGAGCGTTGGGAGATGGGGTGGGAAGGAGGTGAGCCCCTGCAGAGAGTTGGGTAGTGTCCTTCAGGAATGAAAGGAGGGGCAAAGGAGTCACCAGAGGTCCTGCATTTCCATCAGGGTTTCCACAGTCATCAGGGCTTCTCTCTTGAGTTGCTGATAGGAGATGTGAGTTATGCCCAGAGATGTCTTATCGTGAGGAAAAAGAAACTTCCTTTTGTTCACATTTAGGACTCTCAGTGCCATATGAAGTAGCAAAAGGCAGTATCGGCCAGATCAGTGTTACATTGATTCTAAAATTACAGTGTCCCCATTAGACAACTATTTTAGGTGCTGGAGTATGTTTGAAGAGTGTGCTGGGAAAAAGGAAGCATTTCTTCATTGATTTAAATCAGTATGAATATTATATGCCTAAATAAAAAATTTGCACAGGTAAATTCTCTCACTTGTGAATGGGAGAAGCTGCCCCAGGAATCTGTGAGGATGGTATTCCCTGGAGTCTGGCTTTGAAAGATTTCATTGTTGGTAGAAATAACAGGTTGAGAAAGAGGGAGTTAGCATCACCTAAAACCTGCACGTGAACAAGGGTTGACATGATACACTATGGCCTTAGAAAAGGGCCAGGTGAAACCCCAAGCTAATCACTGCGGTCTTTCAGAGCCGGACAGACAGGTGCCAGCAGAGCCCGGGGCTCACTCTCCTTTCAGTCATTCCTCAGCCCTTCGAAGGGAAGCCCAAACACTTTGCACGCTGTGCTGCAGACATTCTGGCCTGGTGTGTCTGAAAGTTGCATCAGTCCTCACGGTGCAAACACAGTTGATTTAGGAAGTCACACAATGACACTGAAATCCTACAGACCAAAATCCACTTGTCAGCAGGAGCAGCAGCCCAGGCCCAGCACCAGCGGTCTTCCGGCTCCTCTGAGGGCTGCCACGTTGGGCGAGGGGAGCCATGCCAAGGGTCCAGGCTGCTTTAGGCCATCTGTGCCCCACTCATCTGGGGACAGATGGTTTTTCTTTATTGTAAAATTGTGGACTTTTAAAACCTGTTGACTAAACAGTAATTAATTTATATTTGTGAAAAATGCCACTGTCCTAGTGATTTCTGATGTAAATAATGTTGTTTATATAGTATGTATTAAATTTTCCTACATTGTAAAACTGCTGTACTTTTGATTCTTGTATATTAAAAAGTGTTACTGAGCATTTTTAGAATTGGGCTAACACGTTGCATTGCATTGTGGTGTGAGCTCTGTGACTAGAGATACCGCCTTGTCTACCTTCCCTCGTTGGTTGCTGGGTCACATCCAGATGTTTTGACAGCTTGTGAAGTGGAGTCTTTTAAAGTTGCATTTCCCTCCATCCAGTACCAGTTGCATTGTTGCGTACCGGCCTTAACACCACAGATACCTAAGCTGTTCCTGAGTATGCCGTCGTCGAGGTGAACAGCTCCCTGGCCGAGCAACTCCAGGCTGTGGCCCACAGCTCTGCACTTGAGGGAGGGCCAGGGTTGCCGAAACCGGTAGTTAATTCCCGTGGGTTAGTCCTGCCTGGGGGGATCCAGGGAGACCTAGGGGGGCCACCCCTTCTATCCTGAAGGAAATAACACTGTGTCTGCCAGCCTGTAGCTTTGAGGGTAATTTAACAGATGGGGTCTGGGGGGTGGCATTTTATAATGGAAACACTGACACAAACGTTAGCTTTAGTATTCTGGCACAGGGGCAGGCCCAGCTCTGGTGCAGCCCAGACAGAGGAAGGGTGGCACAGCCTGCGGGCGGAGATCTCTGTCTGAATAAGGGTTGAAGTTTGCCCAGATCCACGATTTTCACTAATGTTTTGGTGACTTTGAGACTAGCTCTTAAATCTTGATACCAAATAAGCCATGTGTCTACTGAGAGCTGAGCTGTCAACTGCTGTGACTCCGCTCCGTCAGCCCAGGGGACTTGGACGCAGGGGCCCTTGCCAGCCCTGGCCCGCGCTGGAGCGGGAGGCTGGGATTTTTAGTTCACGTAGTTCTTGAGAAAGACGAAGAAAAGCTGAGGGCTCTTGGTGCCCATCAAGAAACGACTCACAATCGTGTTGTAACTCATGACTCAGCTGGAACAATTTGGGGAAACTTTAAGAACAAGTACTGCAATAATCAGCTTATTATGACTTACAATAGCAACAAGGCTTCGAAACTGCCAGCTGCCAAAACGCCTGCCTTTTACTGGAAGCGGCCGGCCCAGGGCCCCTGCCTCCTCCCTCCTCCCTGGCAGGGCCTCGCACGCCTGGCATCACGGCAAGCCCTCCTCAGTCAGCGCCAACAGAAAGGTCACTTATTGAAACCCAAGTCCCTGCAGTTTGCCAGACCAGAGTCGGCTCCAGATTCCAACCTGTGGCTTTTAAAGGCGCAGGACCAGCTCTGATGTGAGGCGTTGCCTTAACTGAAGCCCCCTGCACCAGTCCTTTCTGTCATATCTCATGGGACCCATTTGGTCTCCCAGCCCACCTCAAATCTGTTCTGATCAGTGAGCGGGTGGGGAGGAGAAGGTGCAGCTGGATTCAGTGAAAGTTCCATCCTGCAGAAACCTGGGCACTAATTGAGGAGCTGTTCCCGCTGCTGCCGGTGGGCCCCTCCCCCAGGCTTGACGTCTTGGGGGTGTTCTGGTCAGTTCTGCTGGCGTGTGATGTGGTGGATGACAGTGTGCTCAGGCCACCTGGTTTTGCGCTGAGCCTCCTGCTGTCTGGCTTTGTGTGGGAACATGGACCAGTCCATGGCCTAAAGGCTTCTTACCTCGAAGATGGGCAGAACAATATCCACTTCCGGAACATCACACGTGAGCTTCCTCTTAATTTCTTTAGTGACCTAAGAAGGAATTGTTGCTAAAACACGGGCCCCGTTAACCACAGGCACTGTGGTGGCCCTCGGGGCGTTGGGGGGCTGTAAAGGGGCCTCCCGAGTCAGCGCATTGCCCCCATGTGGTCCCTCCCCATGTTCAGCTGGGTGATCACCTTGCATCTTCACCTGCAAAGGAAGGAGGCCGCTTCTTGGGTTCATGCGGTTTTTAAGTGAGAGTGTGCACAGTGGAAAAGGAAAAGGTTTGTAACCCTAAGGGCGACCTGGAAGAGACAGCATTCAAAGTCCTTGGCTGGGGAATGGGTGGAGAGGGTTGAGTCAGAGGGCAGCTGGATGGGTTGAGGCAGACTAAGGACAGAGCTTGCCCGGCCTGGAGGGCAGGCCCGGTGAGCACCGGGCCCAGCACCTCCCACTCCAGAGACTGCAAGACAAGCGAGCTGCCCTCTTGGAGCCCCATTGGCCAGGGCTTCTGGAAAGCCGCAGCTTGCTGTGCGGGGAGACTAAACCCCAGCAGGAAGGCCCAGCAGGGACTAGAACCCCCAGGAGCTCATAGTCTCATGGGGGAGACACTGCTGGAACCAGACAGTTATGGGAGAGGACGTTTTCCTTGAACCAGGTCTCCAGCCCCTCCTGTGGGCTGGTCCTGCTCCAGGAGCTGGACCCGCGCAGTGAACCAGGAGGATAAGGGCCCTGGCCCCTTGGAGTTGGTATTCTAGCTGGGGTAGGGGTTGGGGGCGGGCCCTAGAGAAGCAAACAGTAAGAGGACAAACGTCACATGAGTGCCAGGGAGAAAACAGCCAGAGGTAGAGGGACAGGGTCGTGAAAATCCTGGATCTGGGCAAACTTCAACCCCTACTCAGACGGCCAAGCCCTGGCGATGAGGATGGGCGGTCAGGAAGGCACGTGGGCCAGCGGGTGGGTGCCGGGCATGGCTGGACAGACTGGATTTGAACATTGGCTCTGTCTCTTACCAGCTGGTGTTGTGGAGCACATTCTCTATCTCCAAGCCTTAACTACAAATAGATACTGACAGCTTCTCACCAGGCTGGGCAGGGACAAGTGAGGTCCCTGAGGTGCATGTCAGGTGGGCTCGGCAGCTGTCATGATCAAAGGGTGGCACTGGGGCCTGTGCGGTGTTTGGGATCAGCTCCCACTCTCTGAAGCCTAGACTGAGGGCCCCTGAGCGAATGTGGTTCTAGAACCATCCTGCAGAGGGCAGCAGATTTCCACAAACAGCCTGCCCGGCACCCAACACCTAAACCCAACCCAGGGAAGGTTCCGGGCTCTTCCCTTGCCCGGGTGGGTCTCTCCCCCTTGGAGCCCACAACAAAGCCCCCCACACCCCAGGAGATGTGGAGCCACGTGGCTTCCGCAGGAAGGGAGACGGACGGGGAAGAGAGGGGCAGAGGCTGCAGGGAGAGGCAGCCTCACTGCCCTCCAAGAGCAGGGGACGCGAGGGGACAGGCTGCCCCGTCCCCAGCCTCCTTCATCCCTACTTCCAGCCCTTGTGCGGGGACGCACAGGGGGTCCTGCTCTGCAGTCCAGCCTCTCCTTCCTCCCACCTGGGAGGGGCAACTGTAGGGACCCTTCTGAGCCACAAGGCCCCCCTGGCATCACCGGCTGTTCTCGGTGACCTTCACCTTAATGTCCAAGCGCCCTGGTTTGGGTCTGGGGCCCTCTGTGACCTGCCCCTGCTGGCCACTCGAACCTTCTTGAGTCCCCTCACTGCAACCAGCCCCAGCTGCTCTCGGCCTCAGGTGGAGGAGGCCAGCTCCGCCTCTAGGGCATGGTCCCTTTCTTCCTCCTCCATCACCTCCATCTGCCCGCTGAGCACCTGGTGGTCTTCAAGAATCAATTCCGGCCATCTCTGGCTCTGCTGTTCCCATCTCCATGCCTGCTGGTGTCTTCCCCAGGCATCCCACAGATGCCGTCAGAGCCCCTGGCGCCCCCACCTGAACGAGGCTCCCTCGGAAAACCCAGGTTCTGTTCCTCTCTAGCTCCGCTTCCTGCCTCCACAGGTGCAGGTGAGAGGTGACAGCGTGCTGGCAGCCCTCAGAGCCCTCGCTTGCTCTCAGCACCTCCCCTGCCTGGGCTCTCACTTTGGCGGCATTTGAGGAGCCCTTCAGCACCCCCTGCACTGTGGGAGCCCCTTTCTGGGCTGGCCAAGGCTGGAGCCCACTCCCTCAGCTTGCAGGGAGGTGTGGAGGGAGAGGCGCAAGCGGGAACCTGGGCTGCGTGCGGCACTTGCAGGCCAGCTGGAGTTCCGGGTGGGCGTGGGCTTGGCGGGCCCCGCACTCGGAGCAGCCAGCCAGCTCTGCTGGCCCCGGGCAATGAGGGACTTAGCACCCAGGCCAGTGGCTGCGGAGGGTGTACTCGGTCCCCCAGCCGTGCCGGCCCACCGGCGCTGCGCTCGATTTCTCGCCGGGCCTTAGCTGCCTTCCCGTGGGGCAAGGCTCGGGACCTGCAGCCCACCATGCCTGAGCCTCCCACCCACTCCATGGGCTCCTGTGCGGCCCGAGCCTCCCCGACGAGCACCACCCTCTGCTCCACGACGCCCAGTCCCACTGACCACCCGAGGGCTGAGGAATGCGAGCGCACCGCGCGGGACTGGCAGGCAGCTCCACCTGCAGCCCCGGTGCGGGATCCACTAGGTGAAGCCAGCTGGGCTCCTGAGTCTGGTGGGGACGTGGAGAGTCTTTATACCTAGCTCAGGGATTGTAAAAACACCAATCAGCACCCTGTGTCTAGCTCAGGGTTTGTGAGTGCACCAATCGACACTCTGTATCTAGCTGCTCTGGTGGGGATGTGGAGAGTCTTTATGTCTAGCTCAGGGATTGTAAATACGCCAATCAGCACCCTGTGTTTAGCTCAAGGTTTGTGAGTGCACCAGTCGACACTCTGTATCTAACTAATCTGATGGGGACGTGGAGAACCTTTGTATCTAGCTCAGGGATTGTAAACGCACCAATCAGCGCCCTGACAAAACAGGCCACTCGGCTCTACCAATCAGCAGGATGTAGGTGGGGCCAGATAAGAGAATAAAAGCAGGCTGCCCCAGCCGGCATTGGCAACCCACTCGGGTTCTCTTGAGCGCTGTAGGAATCATCGTGAAGGTCTGCAGCTTCACTCCTGAGCCAGCGAGACCACGAACCCACCAGAAGGAAGAAACTCCGGACACATCTGAACATCAGAAGGTACAAACTGCAGAGGCGCCACCTTAAGAGCTGTAACACTCACTGCGAGGGTTCGCGATTTCTTTCTTGAAGTTAGTGTAGACCAAGAACCCACCAGTTCCAGACACACAGGGGGCTGGGAAACTGTTCCAGGGTGAACGCAGTACCAGGTCCTCTAGGCTCATTCCTTATTGTGTCTGGGTGCCCTGGTCCCTGGCTAAACAGTGGCCTGGAGGCACTTGCTGCGCTTGGAGCCTTCTCTTGTGGGTGCCCAGAGGAGCCAAAGCGGGTGCTACCTTCTCTGGGGGCTGAGGAGGCTCGGAATTCAGCCAGACTTCAGGTCCCTGCTCCCCAGGCTTCGCAGACGAGGGGGCATATTTAAAGCAGACAGGAGACAGGTCCTAGCTTAGAGCGGCTGTCTAAGACTCCTTGCTGGACTTGATGTTATCCCTTTTTCTGTTGGACTGTGGGAAGAGTCAGGGGACCTTCCTGCCGCTGAGCTGGAGTGGTGATGGGGCTTTAGGGGGTTGGGGCAAGTAGTAAATAGGGGGAGTTTGCTGATATCCTGGTGTTATTTTAGTATTTTAGCATCTACATGGCTGTGCTGGACTCATGGGCTCGTGGCCCTAGCTGCTTAGGATCAGGCCCAGGCTCTGCACTGCGGGGAGGTGGGGAGGTGGGGAGGTCTGGGCAGCAGCAGCACGGTGCGGCGTCAAGTAGCTCGCACAAGAAGGACTCAAGGCCCAGCGTGGAGACCCAGGGCCCTCACTGCAGGCAGGCTGAGAGCATGGGCTCTGGAGACAGCTCACCTTCAAATCGGGTTGCATCCTGGCTGCTGTGACCGGGCCTGGGTGGTTAATCTTACAGGGCCTCAGCGTCTGCACCTGTAATCCTGGGAGAACAGTGTTATTTTCCTGATGAGAGAACAGAGCCTGGCACATGCTAGCACCATGTGGGGCGAACCCTCATTACTGTGGTCCTCCAGGGTATACGCATCCTCAGCAAGGCCTGGCTAATGCTTGGTGATCTGGCCGGAGGTGGAGCCCATATGCCTGCCCTCCCTGGACCAGGACAGGCTGGCAGTGACACCTCTGTGGTCCCCCTGGCTTCATCTGGGGCCACCTCTTTCCACATTGTGTTAGGCTCCTGCTGACCCGTACTACAGGGCATCTTCACCTTCTTTGGACCCCATCCCACATCGCTCTGCCCCAATCCTGGAGTGCTTGTTGTCTCCTTCACTTTCTCAGCCCTGCTCTGACAGTGGAAGCAAATACTAATCAGATAAAAGAATCCCTACCCAGTTATACTGATTTAGTACTTCCCAAACGTGGGACTACAGATATATGGTGGGGAGGATGGTTCTTAGAGGTCTCTGGAAGAATTTAAACCATTTTGTTTTCATTTCATTTATTACTAATTTTTGAGACAGGGTTTCACTCCTGTCTCCCAGGCTGGAGTGCAGTGGCACGATCTTGACTCACTACGACCTCTGCCTCACAGGTTCAAGTGATTGTCCTGCCTCAGCCTCCTGAGTAGCTGGGATTACAGGCATGCGCCACCACGCCCGGCTAATTTTTGTATTTTTAGTAGAGATGGGGTCTCACCATGTTGGCCAGGCTGGTCTCAAACTCCTGACCTCAAGTGATCTGCCCACCTTGGCCTCCAAAAGTGCTGGGATTACAGGCGTGAGCCACGTGCCCCGCCTATGTTTTCATTTTAATGAACATCTTTTAAAATCAATTTAAAGAAATCCTGGAGCATTCGGAAGAGAGGGAGGGAAGAGGGACCCACGACTTAGGATTGTATCAGTGCCAAGGGGTCAGTGCTGCTTGACCCCAGGAGGATGGGGGAAACGTGCTGACGGTTGTCACAGGGCCTGAGTGGCAAGCAGAAGGGAGCTAAAGCACTGCTTGGCACCCAGGACAGGCGCTGAGCTCCGAAGAACCTGGGTCCTGGCAGCCGCTCCTTCCTCCCATGAGACAGCCTATTTGGTGTCTGCAGAACATCATCCACTACTTTAAATGAATGCTGTTCATTTGAGTTTTATTGGTTTTGTAGTTTTGTTTAGCCTTGATTGGTAAATGTGTCTTGATTTTATACTTGAAAGGAGAAATAATTACAAAGAGTTTATACCTAGCCTTATGAATAATAAAATTGACTCGAAGCAGCCCTGGAAGGCCTGGAGGAGTATTGGCCCCTAGACAGTCTGTACATTATAGGTGTTTGGGAACCCAGCTGTTGATGACCTAGACCTGTGGGTAAACAAGGCTGCCTATGAGATGGGCCTGTGCAAAGAAGCCACCTTCTACCGAGGCTTACTGGGCACCAGGCTCTGGGCCTGTTGCTTTGTTGCATTATTTTTTTTTTTCATTTAGTCTCCCGACAATCCTATGGAGTGGCATTTATCTCATTTTTCAGCTGAGGATCCTGAGGCCCAGACACGTTAGGTAACTTGCCTAAGATCACAGAGCAGGGAATTGGATCTGCTAAAACTTTATTGACGGCATATGTTAAAGACAGTAAGAAAGACTTTATTTGAGGTGGGGGGCAGTGTTGGACAGGGACCGCTGCAGCTGGGAAGAGAGATTGGGGTCCCCTCTGAATACAGTACAGGCAAGTGGGAATTGATGGCCAAGGAGCAGGGTGGGCTCAGTGGATGGAAAACCTCTTAAGAGGAAACACCTGGGGGGATTCTTGCTGAAGGCAGGCCAGGTGATCAGACGTCCCCTGGAGGCCGTGGGGCATGAAGACCACGATCAGACAGGAAGGGCAATCAGATGTGGAGGGCGGAGGATTCCAGCAAGACCAATTTAGCAGGACTCTTGCTAAAACCGAACAATCCAGAGACAAACACGGAAGCCCAAAGCCCAGGCCTAACTGGAAGGCTCAGGGCGGCCTGAGGAGAGATGGGTCAAGGCGGGGATCATTGTCAGAACTCAGATTCTAGCCCGACTCTGAAGGCCGAGCCTGTCACCACCTCATGCAATGGCTTTCCCTGCGGTCTCCCAAGGGGCTTTGCGCCAGTATGAGCTTATGTAGTTCTTCCCGCTGCCCAGTGATTAAGGCCTAGTCCTGCACCCAGTTGATAGCTAGGGCAGTGAGGCTCAGACACAGCCTGTGGCTTAAGATGAGGGTCAGAGAACCTCCTGTGAGCTCCGTGAGGACAAGGGTGTGCCGCTTCCTTCTGCCACCCGCATCCCCTTCCCTGATGGGCTGGTCACCGTGAAGGGCCCCCTCCCCACACTGCACGTGTAACTCGTGTTGTTACATATGTAAGTATGATTACACGTGTAATCACACATGTGACTCGGTTAGTGTCTGTCTCTCACCACTAGAGGTCAGTCCCGTGAGGGCGGGCACATTCATTCGAGCGACCACAGCTGTACTGCCGACATCAAGCATAGCCCCCCAGCTCATCACGGGGCCTCATGACGTATTTGTTGAATGCCTGAATGTGCCCCCAAATCCAGACTACGACCAGCCACATCGGGGGTGGCCTACAAATGTTTGTGCCAGGAAGGAAGGGAAGAAGGACTCCTCTTGTTTTATGCAACCAACACCCACCCTGGGGCACTTGCCTTAAGGGATTAATCTGAGATCATTAGCAGAGAAAGGGAAGGTCAAGTCCACTCAAGAAGGCGGTTGCCGGAGTTTTCCTGCTCCACCCTGGGGAGGGACCCCTGGCCCCGCAGACCTGGTCCCTGGTGGTCCCGGCCCCAGCCTTGACCTGAGGGCCACTCAGCGGCCCTGCTCATCAAACCGCTCTGATGGAGCCTGCCTGCCCTTTGAGCCCCTCCTCAGTCAGCCTCCCAGTGGGGGCCTGGCCCCACCCTCTGCTCACCCCAGAACCAGAGCCCTGGTTTGACTCCGCCCCTGCTGTGGGGCTCACGAGCATGCCTTGAACACAGGCTGCCTGTGCCCCCTGGAGCGCCCCGCCCCAGCTCGTTCTCTGCCCTCAAGCGAGGAGTAGGTGGGCGCAGTGAGCGGTGGGGTGGACGCGTGCTCTCCTACCAGACCCTGCTTGTAACCTGGAGTGGGTCAGTTGGCTTCTCTTTGCTTCTGTCTGTCCGTCTGTAAACCAGGGCAATATCTGCTTTCTAGGGTTTTTGTGAAATTTGACAAAGCAATGCAGGACTCGTTTCTATTTCCCAAGGAGGTAGACGTGGTGTCCAGAGGACGACAAAGATGGCAGCTCACCATGCACGTGGACCAGAGCCCACTCCATGGCTGGGCGAGCTGGGCAGTGGGTGACTGGCAGGAAATGGTCAGCTTGGAGGAACGGTGCCCTCGAGGTGGTCAGTAACGGGAGGGCTGAAGAGAACAGCGGCCAGTTACTAAGAGCACACGGTGGGCCGGCCGCCGCGCTGCATGCATTACATTTCATCTTCAGGACCGCCACGTGAGGGAGGTGGCGTCATTGTTCCCTCACAGCTGAGATAGCTGAGGCTGCAAAACAAGGAAAACCCACCCTTTTCATGCAGCCAGTAGGTGACAGAGCTGGGAGCCTGGATCGGGTCTGGTTCTGGAGCCCGGGCCCTTCCTTCGGTCTGGGTGTGTCTGTGCCCATGCCACTGTCCATCCCTGGCCATCCAGGCCCGTGAAACACAAGGTCCCTCCCCCTAGGCCAGGGCGTGGCGGGGTAGGGTGGGGCTGGTCCAGTGGACAGAGCTCTTGCATCGTTTCCTTGACGGGGTGCTTTGGGGACTGCTGCTTCCCATATTGCCAACTGCCTTATGTCCTTTACAGTCCTGCGGTCAGCATGGCCCCGAGCCAGCTCACCAGGGTAATAAACTGCCACAAGCCCCTTCTCTGTAACAGCTGACGCTGGCCTTGTTGCACAGATGGAGCTCAGAGTGAGCTCAAAACCAATTCCCCAGACAGTGTCTGAACACGTCTTTGTTCTTCTCTGGGCAGATCTGCTTGGCCAGACACATTCTGCTTTGGCTGAACGGCCTGGAGAGGGCTCCAATTCCTGCTGGGGAGAGCTGAGGGAGCAGGTTTGAGTTCAGATGTGGAAGAATCCAAGTGCCGTCTCAGGGTCACCCTGGGCAAGGACAGGGTGATGCTGGGCGACATGAATGTTTTCGCCTTGGGATCTGGGCTGCCTGGGATCACAGCCCTCATTCCGGAACGCCACTGACATTACGAGCGTGCCTTGCACACTGGCTGCCTGCAGCTGTCTATTAATTCAGACCATCCTGCTAGGACTTTCTGAGAGTGTTAGTTTCTGTTCCTTTGCCTTCAGGGTTCTGCTACTAACACCATGTCTATATCTTAGGGAGGGAAGGATTAAAAAGTCGAAATGTTGAAAAGCCCTGCAGGATGGGGAAGGTGGCTAAGGAAAGCTGTTGATAGCAGGGTTGGGGGCCTTGGCTGTGCCGATTCAGAAGGTGGTGGTTTCCCAGGGGACAATGGGAACTTCCACGGAATGAGGTCTGTAGACTCCTGGTTAGAGGGTTTGGGGGGCAGGGGTCTTCCCATTGCAGCAAGCTTCTTTCCATTGTTTCAAGGGTTTGGTAAGTAAGGCCAATCAGACCAAAGAGATGTGATTTCTGGACCATACCTGAGATTTGCACACAGGAAAGTGCAGTCCCTGCCCTTGTGTGTCTTGTCTGCTGGGAGACACAGGTATGCGAGGGCGGAGGGTGGACTGTTTCTTCAAGATGCCCTCTCCCCAGTTCTGGCTGGTCAGCCTGGGAGTATGTCAGGGCAGGGGTGGCGTGGCATGCAGGAGCTGCCCCATGGACATTGCCTTAATGAACGAAACTGTTAGTTGTTTTTTTTTTTTTTTTGAGACGGTGTCTTGCTCTGTCGCCCAGGCTGGAGGCTGGAGTGCAGTGGTGCGATCTCTGCTTGCTGCAAGTTCTGCCTCCCGGGTTCACGCCACTCTCTTGCCTCAGCCTCCCGAGTAGCTGGGACTACAGGCGCCCACCACCACGCCTGGCTAATTTTTTGTATTTTTAGTAGAGATGGGGTTTCACCGTGTTAGCCAGGATGGTCTCGATCTCCTGACTTAGTGATCTGCCCGCTTTGGCCTCCCAAAGTGCTGGGATTACAGGCGTGAGCCACCGCTCCCGGCCGAAACTGTTTAATATTGAGTGCCAACTTGATTGGATTGGAGGATGCAAAGTATCGTTCCTGGGTGTGTCTGTGAGGCTGTCGCCAAAGGAAATTAACATTTGAGTCAGTGAACTGGGAGACAGAGACCCACGCTTAACCTGGGTGGGCACCATCTAATCACCTGCCAGCGAGGCTAGGATAAAAGCGGGCAGAGGAATGTGGAAGGGCTAGACTGGACGAGTCTTCTGGCCTTCATCTTTTTCTCATGCTGGCTGTTTTTTACCCTCAAACATTGGACTCCAAGTTCTTCAGCTTTTGGACTCTTGGACTTACACTGGTGGTTTGCCAGGGGCTCTCGGGCCTTCAGTGTCCCAAACCTGCTCCTCCCATGATCTTTCCAGTCATGGTAAATGGCACCACCATTTCCCCAGGTGCTCAGACCCCTGGGGAAGACATCGTGGTCTCCTGTCAAGCTCGCTCTCTCCCCAAGCCCTGTCAGCCCCACCTTCTTATTAGACCCCAAAGGCCATCATTTCTTTTCTTAAAATTATGATTATACTTTCAGTTATGGGGTACACGTGCAGAACGCACAAGTTTGTTACATAGGTATACACGTGCCATGGTGGTTTGCTGCACCTATGAACCCGTCATCATCTACATTGGGTATTTCTCCTGATGCTCTCCCTCCCCCAGCCCCCCACCCACTGACAGGCCCCAGTGTGTGATGTTCCCTTCCCTGTGTCCATGTGTTCTCATTGTTCAACTCCCACTTACGAGTGAGAACATGCGGTGTTTGGTTTTCTGTTCTTGTGTTAGTTTGCTGAGAATGATGGTTTCCAGCTTCATCCATGTCCCTGCAAAGGACATGAACTCATCCCTTTTTATGGCTGCATAGTACTCCATGGCGTATATGTGCCACATTTTCTTTATCCAGTCTATCATTGAGCCCATTATTTCTGATAATCGCTGCATTGCCACTGCCTCAGACTGGCTCCTGACTTCCTCTTTCTTCCCCAGCGGCCCCAAGTCACCTCCATATAGTAACTAGAACAATTCCTTTAATACCCAAGCCAAGGCAGGCCCAGTGGCTCACACCTGTTATCCCAGCACTTTGGGAGGCTGAAACAGACGTCTCGCTTGAGCCCAGGAGTTCAAGATCAGCCTGGGAAAACAGCAAGATCCTGTCTCTCCAAAAAAATTTAACAATTAGCCGGGTGTGACGGCAGGCACCTGTAATCCCAGCTACTTGAGTGGCTGAAGTGGGAGGATTGCTTGAGCCCAGGAAGTGGAGGCTGCAGTGAGCTGTGATTGTGCCGCTGCACTCCAGCCTGGGTGACAGAGTGAGACCCTGTCTCTAAAAAAGAACAATAAAAAGACCCAAGTCGGACACATCATTCCTACACTCAAAGCCCGTGAACGGCTTCCTCTGGCAACTGGAGTCAAACATCAAGTCCTCCCGGAGCCGGAGAGCCCTGCAGTACTTTGGCTGCTCTGTGGCCTCACCTGGGACCCCTGGTCTGTCCACTTGCTACTGTCCAGTGACAGTGGCTTCCCACCATCCCTTAAACTCCCCCTTTGCTGCTGCTGCTCTAGGGCTGTTACACTGTTTTCTCTGCACAGAATGCTCTGTCCGGCTCTGCATGGCTTGTTCCTGAAATTCATGCAGGTGAGCTAGTCGGAGGCCTCCCCTTAACCCCACCACAGATGAATGCCCCTTCTCACCCTCCTGCAATCCAAAATGTGTGTCTCTCGGAACCTCTGGCCCACTTCCCTTTTCTCTGTGGAGCTCGTTACCATGGGACCCTGGGTTTTGTAACTGTGGTTTATTGCCTTGTCTTTCCAATAAGAATGCACAGCAGTCTGTCTGGGTCATTGCGGTAGCCCCTCACACCCCCCTGAACAATGCTGGGTAGACACCCAATAGAGTTATCAAATGGATAAATAAATGCAATTGCAGAGAGGAGGCGGCCACTTTTGGCGGCCTCCATGCGTGGTGCCAGGGCCATGTGCGAGGCCATTGACGAGTGTTAGCTCACTGGATTTCCATACTGACCTCGGGAGGTGGAGACTCACAAATCCATTTTACAAATAAGGAATCTAAGGCTCAAAAAATCCCAAGGAGACCACACAGCTCGCGACGGGTTGAGCCAGTTTTGACGCCAAGTTTGCCTGCAGCCCGAGCCCAAGTGCCACCCCTGCTCCATGCCACTTGCTGGCACAGCTCTGATGACTGTCTCCTGCCTGGCTCTGACGGGTCTCTGCCCAAGTGTTCTGGTAATGATTTTCACCCCCCCGTCTGCCCCCTTCATCGTGACTCTCATTCATTTGTTTTAAAGGCCATTTCTCTCCTGTCCTATAGCCTTGCACATTCTGGTTAGCTAAACAAGAACTCCAGTTCTCGGCAACACATCAGTGAGACAGGATGGGGCGGGGAGAGGCGCCCACCTCCGTGTGCTAATGCATTTACCTCCAGGCCGCAGGCCTCCGCGGAGCTGGCAGCCAGGAACCTCCAGAGGCTCCCAACCTAGCCCGTCCTGCAAGATGAAGCTGCTTCTTGGGAATCTTTTAGCTCAGGATGCTGTGTTCCATATTCACGACGGCATTTCCATGCTCGTGAGGGCAACCAGTAGTAAGTAGCATGGCACTTGGGAAAGAATTCCAGCCGGTTACATTTAGGGTCCTGGAAAAAAAATTCCAAACCAAGAATACTTTGTGGCTAGTGCCATTTAGCATTTTCGTCTAGTAGAGATTTCTTTTTTCTTTTTCTTCTGTGTGCCCTGGCTTCTCAGGAACTGTTCTCTGTGCCGGACGAGCACCAATGGCTCCGCTCCTCCTTGCTGCCTCCCTGAGTCGCTCTGTCCCTGGGACTGCTAAGGGCACGGGGCCTGTAGTGACGGTTCCGGCCGCCAGGGAAGATGCTGGGTACGTTTTGTCCTTTCCAGTCTGGTTCCTGCCTCCCAAACCCAACTCCCGTGTTCTCTCTGGGAGCCCTGCAAGAACAGGGCTTTAGAACGTTCTCCTTTTTTGGCCGGGCACGGTGGTGGCTCACGCCTGTAATCCCAACACTTTGGGAGGCCAAGGCAGGCGGATCACGAGGTCAGGAGATCAAGACCATACTGGTCAACATGGTGAAACACCATCTCTACTAAAATACAAAAAATTAGCCAGGCGTGGTGGTGTGTGCCTGTAGTCCCAGCTACTTGGGAGGCTGAGGCAGGAGAATTGCTTGAACCTGGGAGGCAGGGGCTGCAGTGAGCTGGGATGGTGCCACTGCACTCCAGCCTGGCGACAGAGCAAGACGCCAGACTCCATTTCAAAAATAAAATAAAGTTCTCCTTTTTCTTCAGCCTTCCTGGTCTGCCTGGGATTAATGAACTTGGCCACTCTTGGGACTCCTCCCCTTGCTAGCCTGCAGGTTCACCTCTCCCAAGAGTCCAGGGTCTGTATCGCCCCTTTCCTTCTCCCCTTAACTGATTTATCTTGCTTTGGGATAATACCACCCCCTCCCTCCCCACGACCAGACAAGCCATGTGTGCCCCGCCCTCTCCTAAGCAATTTACAGGAATGAACTCCTGACTCTCCAAACAACTGTATGGGACAGGCACCCCCCCATCTTCCAGAGAACAGCATGCAGGCTCAGAGAGGTGAAGTGACTTGCCCATGGTCACACTGCTGGGGAGGTGGAGAAGCCAGGATGTAGGCTGGCTTAACTGTGCTGCTATTCTGCCTCATGGCATTTAGTTTGAAGAGAAGGGGCTTCAGGACAATACTAACCTAGGTGCACAGGTTGTCCTTCCCGTTGCTAAGGAGCCCTAGGCAAGTCAGTTAATCTCAGAGTCTGTTTCATCGGCAAAATGGGCCTGAATTTCTTCCTGATTCACTGGGTAGTTTGTACAGATGAAATGTGATCACAGCTGCCAATAAACCTGGTCCCACAGTGACGTGGACAGCAGCCTCCTGCAGCACCACTGCTCCGCCCGGGCTATGAGAAGATGGGCACTGGCAGGGAGGGTGGCAGGCAGTCCCAACAGCTGGGGCTCCAGGCTGATAGCAGTGGCTGAGAGGGAGTCATCCCAGATCTCAGGCTATCCCACCCATCTCATCCCAGAGGGCACCATATGTCTCTCCACCACATAGTCACCTGTCTCCCTGACTGTGTTCCACTGTCACTAGAACAAGAGGATCTGGGCCTGCCAAGCTCCAAAGACAGCTCATCGTGAGGAGGAAAAGTGACTTTACAAAAGCAATGTGTGGTGGCTGTTAAACTGCTGCATCTTCTATCCGCCTTCACACCATTCTCACGCACATACACATGCGCACACACATGCCTACATGCACACACATAGGCATGGGCGCACACACAGGCATGCGCACACATGCGTACATGCACGCACACAGGCACGCACACACACAGGCATGCATACACACATGCGCGCACACACACATGCGCGCACACACACACACTTGCTGCAGGGGATCCCACCACCAAAGTCCATCCTCCACCCGCCTCAAGGGAGCCAAAGTCTGTTCAGAAAACAAACTCCAACACGTCTAAAAGAAAATAACAAAAAAACCAAACTTTACTTGCATTTAGCCATTAATAAATAATTTACAGTATGTACACGCGGTGACACTCCACACAGGTCGCAGACACGTGGACGCAGTGAGGGGTCCCCACTTCCAAGCAGAACGTGAGCAAACACAACCAAAATAAAGTGCTTCACTTTTTACTTCCAACATAGGGACCAACTAAAACCAGCAGGGAGAGGGAGGGGCCGGGCCCCGAGCGCCCTCCCACCCGCCCACACACGGTTCTGGCAGAGGGAGCAGGACCTCTTGGAGGGAGGGGGAGACACACGTTCTGCAGCCTCCTGGCCAGTGTATGAGAGGTCCCTGGGGAACAGCAGAGGGGCTGCCGATGGGTGGGTAGGGTGTGGAGCTGTAGGGCTGCTGGCAGGATCACCCTCCAGGGCCTGGCTGCACTTTTGGGAGTGAAGCCTGGCTTTGTGCTGTGGGCACAGCAGCACAGGTGGGACTGTTCTGGGCCCCTGGATGAGCACCCTGGGCTGAAATGAGGCGGGAGCCAGCGGCAAGTCTCTCCTGGCTGTGTGGCCACAGGGCTTAAGGGAAGAGATTAGAGGTTGAAGACCCTGCCAGGGATGCTCAGAGCTGAGAGTCCTAAGACCCTGCTCCTCTCCCCAGACTCCAGACGTGGATGGACCGGGCTGGGGGCTCTTGGGGTTGTGAGGAGGAAGCAGAGGATCAGGGCAGGCCAGCTGGCCCCATCCACTGGGTCTCCTGCCACACCCTGGGGCCCAGGCACCCCTGCCCAGGAGCTCTTGCATCTGCAGGAGAGAGAGGAACAGAAGTCAAGGATCTCTTCTCTGTTTAGACATTTAGAACCAAGCACTTCGACTTTCTAAGCACAGGGTGGAAGGGGCAGGGGCCCAGGCCAGAGACGGGCAGCTGAGCAGGTGCCTGAAAACCGGGACCTGCACTGGTACCCACAGCAGCCAGGTGAACATGGGCAGGGAGGCCACAGGCCAGAAGGCACCAGGCGGGCACGACCTACTGGCCAAAAGGTTCCAGCAGTCTGCTAAGGTGCCAAGCAGCGCCCCGGGGTTGCCCTGCCTGGGGCCAAGCCCCAAGGATGCCTCCCTGTGTGGCTGGGGTGTCCCCGCTGGCCTAGGGGGATCGAGTGTGCTCTCGTGTAAGAGTGTGTGCGTGCGTGTGGCGGGCACAGGGGGCCCCACGGATCGGCGAGCAGCAGTCGGCCGGGCCTTTCAGTGCATTGCGAGGGGGAAGGAGCTGACTCTGACGGTTCCCAGTGTGTCTCTGGTGGGGGTGGGGGGCTTCAGCCTGAGGGGATGTTTCACACATTCACACTGCAGGGGCGGGGCGAGGGGAGCTGCTCTCCCTCTCACACAGCTCTACTGTCAAACATCATGGCACCAGTCACCACAACCTTGTCACGTGCACTAGAAGGGGAGGGGTCCGTGCCTGAGCCCTTGGCAGCAGGCGGTCCCTGGCGTTCTGCGGGGCCATGGTGGACACGCCAGGAGATCTGCACCCCGTGGGCGGTCCCAGCCCACACATGGGGAAGCCGAGAGGACGGAGCCCGCGCCTCCCTCCACATCTACGCGTCTAGCAGAACACAGGGAGCAGGGCCAGGAGCGGGACGAGGGCGCCCAGGAGGGGCCGGGGGGCCAGGGGCAGCCCCGCAGCCGCCCTGCCTGGCAGGTCCCGAGTCCTCTCATACAGGTGCAGTTTGTCTTTGTTGGAGTGGAGCATCTTGACATCCTCCAACGCGTAGTAGGCGGCCAGTGTGAAGTTCACGTCGCCCGTGGTGAGGAGGTCGAAGACGCAGGCCTGGTAGTACAGGTCCTCCACCGGCAGCTTCTCCTTGCACTTGGCCACGGCTGTCTCGTATGGGAAGGTCTCGGGGGCTGTGGGTGCAGGGCTGGCGGCTGCCAGCCTGCGGGCACCGGTGCCCTCAGCATTGGTGTGGAAGGCCTGGAAGTCGATCTGCTGGTTGAGGGGGCAGCCCCGCAGGCAGAGGTAGAGACCCTGGCTGTCCCAGTCCTCCACAGCATTGACCACTTCCTCTGGCATGCGGACGGCAAAGGTCAGGTAGCGGCCCACCTGGCGCACCACGATGGTGGTGCCGATGTACTTGGCCTGGATCTCCACGTGCTGGCCTGACACCTTCTCAGTGATCTTCAGGCTGTTGGCCCCGTGCTTGTCCCCACCGTTCTTAGAGCCATCCACGAAGGCGGCCGGGAGCTCGTCCATCTCAGCCTGGTACACCTTCTGGTCCACACACTCCTGGAAGTTCTTGAAGATGATGGTGAGCTGCCGGGGAAAGGGGCAGAGGAGAGTGGGTGAGGCACAGTGGGAGGAGGCACAGCCCCACACTTAAGATGCTCTAGACTGAGAGGAGGGCAGGAAGGATCCCCAGGGATGCCCCAGACACTCCCTTCTCCAGGTTGGACAGATCAGTTCCACCTGCGCAGCTGTGCACTTCACATTCTTTCAATGAAAACAACTTGCCCTTTTTACTTTAAAAAGTGACTTAGAAAAATGTTAGACCACTACCCTAAGTAGAAAACTAGCTCTTTTACTATATAGGGAAGTGAACCAGAAAAATAAAAGCATAGATAATTAAAAATAAAAGGTCAAAAGCCCAGTGTGGTAGGCTGAATAATGGCTCCCAAGAAGAACATGCCCTAATCCCTGTAACTTGGGAATGTTCCCTTAGATGGCAAAAGGGACCCTGCAGATATGATTAGGTTAAGAACACTGAGATGAAGAGATTATTCTGGATTACCTGGGTGGGCCCTAGATGGAATCACAAGTATCTTTATAAGAAGGAGGCAGAGGGAGATTTGACTAACTAGGACAGAGGAGAAGGTGATGTGCTCAACAAGGCAGAGATTCGAATGATGTGGCCACAAACCAAGGGATGCTGGCAACCACCAAAAGCTGGAAATGGCAATGAATGGATTCTCCCCTGGAGTCTCCAGGACCAGCCCTGCTGATACCTTGATTTTATCCCCACGAGACATATTCCCAACTTCCGGCCTCCACAATTATAAAACATTTCTGTTGGTTTGAACCACTCAGTTTATGCTAATTTGCTACAGTGGCGATAGGAAATGAATATGGTTTGCAAACATCATCTTGCATAATGACAGTGGTACTGGAGCACAATTCCTGACAAAGGACCCAAGCAAATGTCTGAACATTACAGCAGGTGGAATGGAGGGAAATGATGCTCAAAGAAAGAATGAATAGGGCAAAATCCATGCAAGCAGGCAGAGGCAAGCAGAAGCCACTGTCCCAAGGCTGCTGAAAGGGGTCCCCAAGCTGGGTCATGGAGGAGGGGAACAGGAAAGGAGCAAGGTGCTGGTCGGTAAAAGGGAGATGGAGGTTCCAGGCTGAACGGGCAGCCTTGGCCGGGGCTGGAGCAGGGAGGCTCCTTTCTGCTGGAGCCTGTGGCCAGGGGTGAGGGGCTGGACTGAGCTGCTGGAGCAGCAGCTGGCTGGGTGGCACTGTTCTCCTGAGAGCCAGACACAGAGGCATTGGCTGCATACAGCATGCTAAGCACTGCATGTATTACTTCCAGTCTCGTGTGACACTGCAAGGGTCGGTGACATTACTCTCAATTTTCCGGATGAGAAAATGTAGGCTCAGAGAGAGGCAGTAACTTGCCTAAGGTCACACAGCCAGCAAGAGGCAGAGCTGGGATTAGACTCTGCGTTTCCAGACTCTGGGCTCTCTTGGCCACAAGCCCATAGGGTGGGAGGCCTGAGAGGAGGAGGGCCGGTGGCCAGGGGAGCAGGTGAGTTTCCTCTGCCGTCCGCGTCCTGGGTGGCGTCTGGCTGTTCTTTCCTCCCTAACCCTAAGCAGGTTTCTGGGTTGGAAACAGAGAAACTGGGAGAGAAAAAACCACCCCTTCTTCCACTCCTTTCCCAGGTGTCAGCTGTTTTGCCATGGGAGCTCTGGGTGCCTTGGTCCCCCTGGACCAAGGGCAGCTGGAACCTGGACTCCCAGCCTGAAGCCACGAAGGGAGGTGGGGCAAAGGGGACAAGGTGGCACCCAGGCCTTTTGGGACCTCCTGCTAAAATCCCACCTTTATCTGCTGCACTACCCTCTCCCAGGCCCGGCAACTACCCCCACCACTAAGCCCCAACCCCTCACCCCTCTGTAGGTCAGGGCTCATCCCTCCCCACCCAGGAGAGGGTGTGGCCAGCTAGCTGGCTGGCTGACAGAGCTCCCAGGGGATCCCACCCCAACCTGGCCTCAGAGGGTCTGCAGGCTGAAGGGGTCTGAGCAAGGGGGAGCTGCTGATGACATGCACAGCCGTTCTCTGCCTGGGCACTTGGGGGAGGCATGAGGACTGCCTGCCGGCTCTCTGGGTAGAGGGCAATGCCGCCGCGTGCCAAGGGAGTTTCTGGCCTAACAGCAGATGTGTGGCGAGGGCACAGTGCGAGGTGCTAGAAAGCAACAGGAAATAACAAGCTGCTCTGATGGGGAAGGGCAGGCAGGGAAACCACAGAAGGACCTCAGCTCAGGCAGGAGAGTCGCAGGAAGGTGGAAGGTGGGGTCTGGCCAGGAATGCAGCATGAGGCCATCCTGTTCTCTGGGGCCCGGAGGCCAGGGGTGCAGCAGAGTGGCCTGTTTGGGGCGGGCTGGCCCAGGGTCATGGCCTCAGGACCAGGTGCTAAGAGGCCTGAGGCCTGGAAAGGGGTTCCAGAACCTTCTAGGTAATACAAGCCAGTGGGGTATTCAGAGCCACTAGAGGTGCCCCTGGCCGTGTTGCTGTGGCTTTGTGGGTTCCCCATATTGGCATAAGATTTCGGGATGATGAGGTGGGGAGAACTGGTAGCCTGAGGGGTGTGGAACCCCCGGAAGAACAGAGGGAGACCCTAGGCCAAGGCTTCTGAAGAAGGAAAATGTGTTAGTCAGGCAAGGCTGGGAGGAGCTGAACGAGGGGCAGGCTGCTGGAGGACTTTACAAGAAATGGCGGTCTTCTCATGAGCCCGTTCATCTTGGGCACCCGGCGCTGTGCTTTCTGTGCCTGATGGAGGCTGCGGAGGGTCGGGGCTCTGCGGGAGTCCATGCAGCAGCACCAGGAGGACCCCAAGCGCACAGTTCCTTGAGGACCGGACTCGATTTCCTCGCATCCCTTCCTACAGGGGTCCCAGCCTGGCCGCAGGACACGGCACACTTCCCATTTGCCGTGGGATGTCAAAGGTGGCTGCGGCTGCAGCCTCTCCATCCAGCATGGAGCCCTAAGCCTCGAACCTGATGAGATTGCTGCTACTCTACCATTCCTGACCTATGGAAACGGCAAC
This sequence comes from Homo sapiens, assembly GCF_000001405.40. Lineage (NCBI taxonomy): Eukaryota > Metazoa > Chordata > Mammalia > Primates > Hominidae > Homo > Homo sapiens. The sequence goes on from NC_000015.10 coordinate 93,048,711, forward strand.
TTCATACGGTTCAGCCTCCTACTTCTTCCTTCTTTCCACCCACTGGCCAGCCCACCTCGGTGGGGAGGCCGCCTGGGGGTGCCGGAGGTGGGCCAGCCAGGGTGGTCTGGGCCGTGGGTGGTCCTGCCATGGGGGGAGGATGGGGGACTCTGGTGTCCCTGCCTGGTGTGCAGGGCCACACAGACACTGGGGGTGGGGGGGGGCGGCGTCCTGCTTTCCAAGTGCCATCAGTCTCCCTGGAACAGGAAAGGCTGGTTTCGCTCTAACCACCATCTCTCGCAGAGACAGCCTCCTGGAAGGCTGACAGGCTGCTTGACTCTTCTTGGCACCGGTGCCAGGGACTCAACCGCAAGTAACAGCATGAAGGGGGCCTGTCGAAAGCTGGCGGCTCGCTGCCAACACAGCCACGGGCGGGCTGCCGCTCCTGTCTCTGCTGCTCCCCCTTCTGAAGGGGTCCTGGCCCTTTCCACTGCACCGGGCACGAGGCAGAGCCCAGGCTGCATCAGCTACTATCTACGGAGCACCACCTCCATGCCAGGCCTGGTGCTGGGGGCTCGGGGTACACGAGGGAGAAGATCCCTATGCTTCAGGGGGTCGCAGACTAAGCAAATGAATCATGCAGAGGGACAGGCTGGCAAGTGCTATGGGGAAAACTAACCAGCGGGGAAAGGAAGGGGAAGGCGCAGGACTTGAGTTCCTGTCCTCTCCTGAGTCTCAGTTTCTTTGTCTGTAAAATGGGTATCAGCAGCACAGATGGGAAGAGGGTGATGGAGCAGGAGGCTGGGCACAGAAGGCTGTCCCACGGGGGTAAGACACTGGCTAAAATGTCCACGTAGAAAACACTAGATCTTGATCGTCCACAAGAACAGAGGGATTGGCTGATTGGCTGATACTGCCAGTATCATGAGAAACAAATAAAGGCCCCTAGTGATGCCCGGGTGTTTGGGGGCAGCTTCATGCACACACAGCTTGCACACGGAGCTTCTGCACAGGAAGGCAAATCTCATAGCTGCAAGGTCAGGGTCAGGCCAGGCAGGGGCTGGACACACTCTGGGAAGCCTGAGGAGAGGCCCTCAAGGGCAGGTGTGCAGGGACAGATGGAGTCTCTGGCTGCCTGAGAGGGGAAAGGGGAGTGGGTTCCAGTGGGTGGTAGAGTCTGGCAGGCCCAGAGGGCTCTGTTGGTGGTAGTCGAGGTGGTCACAGAAACCCAGAGGCCTCATCATCTTGGAGATGAAAGTCCCTTGCCTTTCCCTGCTCCCTGCAGACACCAGGCTGCTCTCCCACTCCGCCTGCTTTGGATGTCGACTCCTCTGTTCCTCCATCCGGAAACTTGCGCTGTGCTTCAGGGGCGAGCTTGGTGGATGGGCTCCCCAGTTCTCTGGACAGAGCCAAGGCTCCCAATGGCCTTCAACATCCTGCTGCCCCAGCCTCCATCGCCAGCTCCCCTTTGCTGGTCTTTGCTCTTCACTAGCCTGGGAGCTTCTGGGAGGGAGGGCAACAACTAGCTCAGAGGCTGGCACAGATGCAACGTCTGTTAAGTGTTTGCTCCATCAATGAGTGAACAAACACACCTGAGTAACGGAGGCCTGACAGACAGGCGGGGGCAGGCCAAAGGTGCCTGAAGCCAGCCACCGACGTTCTCACCGGGGGACCACAATACCCCAGTCTGGCCCGAGTTCTGAGACTGACTTGGCCACAGACACTGACGCTGTCACTGTCTGGCCTCCAGCAGAGCCTGGTTGACAGGGCTGAGCTCTCAGCCTGCTGAGATCAAAGGTGGCCTTCGGTTGCAGCAGAAATGGGCTGGGTTGGTGAAGCTCTGCTTCATACTCTTCTGGAAGCCTCCATGCTGGGATAGGAAGGGAAGTTCTCCCTCCACTGCTCCACCCCGTCACATCACCCCCATCCATAATGGGGGCAGCAGCCCAGCCTCCCTGCACACAAATCACAAATCCTCCCCGGTGCGTGGCTTGGCTCTGTTGTCGCATTTGGTGCTTCCACCCCCTGGGGTCTGGAGGAGCGAGCCACCTGGGGTCCACATCCCTCTCACATCCTCAGACCTCCCTGTGCGCCCTGCCAGCCCTTGGGAACCTGCAGGATGGGACAGGGAGGCCAGGTCCCCTCTGAAGCGTGCTGGTGCCTGGATTTAGAAGCTGCAGCCTCAGGCTCCTGGCGTCCGTCTGTCTTGGCTCTCAGGAGGGCGGGTGGTGGGGAGGTGCAGGGGCCGTGGGGGAGGTGGCTGGGTCCTTGATGCAGGCAGGCCCTGAGTATGCGGAGGGCTGCGGGGGCACAGGGTGGAGTGTACCGGCTGCAAGTCTTCTCCATTAGGTGTCATGTTGTGGTGCCAAGGGCCCGCTTGGGAATCCACAGGGCGAAGACCTGCTTATTTCCCGCCCAGCCAGGGACCAGAAAGTGACCCCCTGCAGGCAGGCAAGGGCCACCGGAGCAGAGGGAAGTGGCAGGGATGGAGCATTTCCTTGGCTGCCAGGTCACCTCGCTGTCCTCCTCTGGGTGTGGAGGGGTGGGAAGGAACAGAAACGCCCTTGTGGTAAATCTGGCACTGCCCGACACACGGCCTTCCAACTGGCTCTTCCTAGGAAAACAGACCCACTGCCATTTCGCCAAGCTGGAAACCCCAGGGGGCACCGGTGGGCCGGGCACTGGGGAGGGTGGACGTGTCCCCATCGCCTGAACTGGGAGCCACCAGCTTCCTTCCTGGCCTCGAGGCCTTGCCCTCTGGCTAAGTCCGATTCAGGACATCCTCCCCAAAAGCAGGTAGGGGAGGGAGGCCTGGGGTAGACAGGAGTGTCCACTTGCGTGGGTCCATGGCTGTGTGTGTGGCTGCGGCCCCATGAGCAGGACCTGAGTCCTGCTGCCCACTTGCTGAGGCCTCCTTGGGTTTGAAAACCAGCAGCCCGCAGTGGCCTCGTGGGGCCGCTCAGAATATGCCAGGTTCTGGAGTCACCCGGGCCTGGGGCAAATTCTAGCTCAGCATTCCAGCTGACTACGCACTTGGGGTGGGAAGGTCACTTGGCCTCTTAGAGCATCAGGCTCCCCATTTGTGAAGTGGAGCTATGCCTGCCAGGCCGGGCTGGCTCGAGGAAGGAGGGAGGAAGCTGAGACCCACCCCCTTGGGATGCTCAGGGAGGGTGCTCCTGTGTCCCCGCTCCGCTCCGTCTTCCCCCATTCCCAGGCACCCGAGGCCCTCTCAGCCTCTCAGTGTCCACGCAGGGCAGAGACAAAGGGCAGGGCTGTGCCCTACAGCCGCCCCCTCCCCCTTACCTTGCTGGTGGCAGTGGCCGCTGAGCCGGGCAGCACAGGCGTGTTGGTGACCTGCACGTTCAGGTAATTATTGTCGATGAGCGGCCAGGCGCCCTGCACCTTGCAGGTCTGGAAGCGGTCGGTGAAAGTCCTGAGGTGTGGGTCCCCGAAGAGGCCACAGTGCGTGTAGTTGGGGGTGGCCGAGTGCTTGTGAAAGCTCTTCTCGTAATGGCAGATCTCGGGGCTGTCCGAGCGCTCCTGGCTGTCTCCGGCCGGTGGGAGCGTGCGCAGGCGTGGCTGCGAGGTGGGGCCATCCTTGGAGCAGTTGTGCTGGCTCATGAGGTCCTCTATGCCATGGACGGCCGAGTGGTAGGCCAGGTCACCCCGGCAGGTGCGGGCCGTCCGCCGCGTGCACAGGGCGTAGCTGCGCAAGGCTGCACAGAACTCGGGGGTGTCGTCTGAGGCTGGGGCGTGGCTGCCCGACGTGGCGCTCCAGAACTCAGAGTTGCACTTGAGGATCTTGCACGGGGAGGTGGCTGAGGAGAAAGGAACGAACACACCGTCGGGGTGCAGCCTGGCAACCCCAGCTTCTGCTACCATCTGTGGGCCAGGGGAGCAGCCACACATCGCCTCATCTAGGGCAGAGCCACCCATGCCACACACAGATGGTGAAAAATTTCCTGCAGGTGGTAGGAAAGGGGTCCTTCTACCCAGCCTATGGCGACCCCAAGTGGACAAGCATGCACACCAGCAGGCTGAAAGGGCTAGTGGGGATCCTCCCACAGCGCCAGCCTGCTAGGGAGTGGTCACTGTTTGGGGGCAGTAGGACTTTGGGAGCTGACAGGCCACCCTGGGGCCGCTGACATCTATATACACTTTCATGGCCATCCCCAAGAATTTTGGCTAAAGCAACAGGAATCTGGCAGGGAATTGGCCCCACTATTAAATGTGTCCCCAGTCCTGGCATTGTATGACCTTATACAAATGGCCTCCCGTCTCTGTGCCTTGTTATACTCATCTGGAAGATGGGATGATGAGTGTGAAGTGATTTATCACGTATAAAGGACTTAGTCTGGCCCCAGCATTCACGGCCAAAACTCAATGAACGTCGCCTGGTATGAGTGCTCTGTTAGCCCTGGCCATAGAGGAACTGGCTTCCCTTATGCTGACCATAGCCCCATCCTCTGTCCTGCTCAGAGAAGCAAGCTGAGAAGCAACTGAGAGTAGTAACCTTGGATCCCTCACAAGCTTTGAGACTTTAGTGACAATTAGCCAAAATGACCGTGCCCCAGAACTATGGCTTTAACACACCTTATCTTCTCAACACACAGAACCTGCCCTTTTCTGGCCTTCCTCTGCACAGCCCATAGTGACCACAACTGGCCAGGCACACAGACCTGCAGCAGGACAGAAGTTCCTACATGGGTTCCAGGAGAAAGGGGCCAGGACACCAGCTGGGAGGTCCAGCCTCTGGGGTCACAGCCCAGTCCTGGCCTGGGTGGTCTCCAGCGGGGAAAGGGAGCCTCAGCACTCTTGTCTGGGCCACTAACTTGGCTTGTGACCTTGGAAAGGTCAGTTTGTGTCTCTGGTGCTGGTTTTACCTATAAAATTGAGTTGCACATAAAACCAAGAACAGACACATTTGAGGGCAGGCTAACGCGAGCACGAGTGCCTACCTATCCCAGCAGCCTTGTGTGAACCCAGCCTGCATTGTGCAGCCCTGGACCTGGGTGATCTCTCCCGCCTCTGCAGGTGGGTGGGCACCATCCTACTGGAGCACAAGTCACCTTCCCAGATCACAGACTTGAGCACGGGCGAGTCAGTGCTCATCTGAAATTTGGGCTCCCCCCTTCACGTGACCCGTTTGCCATACTGCCAGTAACAAGGTAATTTCAGGTGATACCTAAGTGAACACTTTGTCTTTTAATTTGAGAAGTCATATCTTTATTTAAATGTGCATTAAGAAAAAAAAATTGCTGGGTATGGCAGCTCACGCCTGTAATCCCAGCACTTTTTGGGAGGCCGAGGCAGGCAGATCATGTGAGGTCTGGAGCTCGAGACCAGCCTGGCCAACATGATGAAACCCCTTCTCTACCAAAAATACAAAAATTAGCTGGGCATGGTGGTGCGCACCTGTAATCCCAGCTACTCGGGAGGCTGTGGCACGAGAACTGCTTGAACCCGGGAGGCAGAGGTTGCAGTGACCTGAGATGGCGCCACTGTACTCCAGTCTGGGAGACAGAGCAAGACTCCATCTCAAAAAAAAAAAAAAAAAAATTGATGGAAGAGCTACAGATTTTCCATTTTATTAGCTTTAAATTGAAGAAGTATACTCACTTAAAGGGTCAGGTTAGGTAAATGACAGTCAGGTGGTGCCCGCTTGATATGGTTCGGCTGTGTCCCCACCCAAATCTCACCTTGAACTGTAATAATCTCCACGTGTCAAGGGTGGGGCCAGGTGGAGATAAGTGAATCAGGAGGTCATTTCCCCCATACTGTTCTGGTGGTAGTGAATAAGTCTCATGAGATCTGATGGTTTTATAAATGGGAGTTCCCCTGCACATGCTCTCTTGCCTGCTGCCACGTAAGATGTGCCTTTGCTTCTCCTTTGCCTTCTGTCATGATTGTGAGGCCTCCCCGGCCATGTGGAACTATGAGTCCATTAAACCTCTTTCCTTTATAAATTACCCAGTCTTGGGTATGTCTTTATCAGCAGTGTGAAAACAGACTAATACACCACCGTAAAGGGATGCTGTGGTAGATACGTGGGGGGCACTGGTGAGATGCCCCCATGTAGTCTTCCTCCTACACAGGTGTGCTCCTGAGGAGAGGTCTCCCTCCCAAGGCAACGAGAAGATTCTCTTGCCCTGCTGTCTTCACGTCTCCTTAACCTGTACAAGATGTGCAAGGGCCCAACCTACCTGTAGGCTTTGAAATGTTGGTGTGGTAGCTTCCCTGCCGCCCCCTGATAAAGCCGGTACAGGAGGTGAGTGTGGTGGGGGCGTGTATGGGGAGGGAGTGCTACGCAGAACAAGCGTTTGGAGGGACCCAGCACACAGGAACTGACTGGCGCGGTGGCCTACACACAATGCCTGTCCCGGCAGCCTCACTAATTCCAGGGGCCCGGTGTGCTGACCTGCCATTCTGCCTCCTCAGAATCATGCAGATGTGGGTGTCAGAGAAAATCAACCGGAAGGAACACTGGTCTCCTGTTAATGGATGGCCACGCTCAAGCTCCGGTTCACCTGTGGCACTTACTGTGACCAAAGTAGAGGAAAGAACACTGCCTGTCCCTTTACAGCAGGTCCCACTGCAACACAAGCAGGAGCTGTGCTGGGCTCTGACTCTCCACCACGACCAAATCTGGTAGAACCTAGGAGAGCAGGGACCGTGAAGTCCCAGCTGGCTGGCTCCGTCCCAGGTCCGGTGCTGCAGGCGGTACAGGCCTCCCCTCATTGCATCTTCCCGGTGCGACTGCCATCCCCAGCTCTCAGGGGAAAGCCGGGCTCTGCTGGGCTGACTTCTTGCCCAAGTCTCACTTCCAGGAAGGAGCCAGGGCAGGACATGAATCCAGCCCGCTGGACTTGAGAGCTCACGCCCCCGGCAGCCACACATCATCACACAACCTCATTAGCACACCCGATTCCCTCCCCCACGGGTGGGCTCCAGCCTCTCCTGCAAGACCCATCTTATGACACTGTGCTCCCAGGAGCAGGAGGCCTGTGATCCACACACGCTTTCTCCCTGCCTTGCCTCCAGCAGACAAGTTCCAAGGGGTCACCTCCCAGGGTGAGCAGGGGCTCGACGGCAGGGTCAGACTGGTGCCCAGGTGTGGCTCTACCCTCCAAATGGGTAACTCCGCAGCCTCCTGAATTTTAAGTGGACTGGCTTCGTGATCGGGATCTGCTACCTCCACAGCCTTCAAAACTGTTCTCAGAGCAGCACCGCAGCTACAGAACTCTGGGGTATGTGGGCAGTTCATGACAGAAATCCCACCCAGGTACCCCGGAGAGGGGTCCCTCGCATGCTCCAGGGCCACAGAGTGGGATCTGGTAGCCCCAGATGAGGCTGTACTGGGTGGCCTGGGACCCAGCTCGGCAGGCCCCAGTAGCCCAGGGGTTCTGCAATTCTACCAAGTTCCCAGGAGAGGCCCATGCTGCTGGTCCCCGGCCCACTTTGAGTAGTGAGGCTTCAGAGTTGGTTCACTTTCTTTTCAACGGTCACAGAAGCCAAGCTAGTGCCTGATGGAGCCGGGCCAGCCCGGAGTGTGTGAAGGCGACATTTCCCCAGGATGGGGAGGGGGCTGGTGGCGAAGTTTCAGAGAAGGGGGCTGCAGGCAAAGGAGTGGCAAGAGGCAGACAGCGCCCCCAGGAGCAAACAGCAGGGATGCGGCCACCTTAGCCCTGATGCAGAGCGGCTAAGAAGCGCCTGAGACGAGGCCCTTTCACTTCTCCGTTCCACATGGGCACCTTCTCCTGCTCCTCTCCTCCTCCCAGACCCCACCCACTCTAAGAACAAGACCACCCCTCACCCAGCAGGCGTAGCTGTCTGCCTGCCACTCAAAGATGGTGGCAGAGGTCACACTCTGGAACCGTTGCACACAGGAACCAGGGTCCCCGTCTCCCCGACTCCTCTGTAGGCTTCAGGACCCTGGTGGTGAGGTGAGCTCCGTGCCCCACTATTCCCTCCAAGTTCTGCCAGCCCCAGCTCTGGGTGGGCTGAGGGCCAGCACAGGCCCTGAAGGGAGGTGTCTGGTTCAAAGTCCCACTCTGTCCCCTACCAGTAGTTTCGGGAACTTGACTCAGCCTGTTTCCTTAACTGTCAAGTAGAGACTGTGTCCACCTTAAAGGGTCGCTGAGGATATGAGGAGATGTACATGGCGTGCCTGGAGCCCCAGGGGCATCCAACAAACAGGGTCCCCCACAAAGGCCACAGTGGGGTACAATGCTTGCAGCCCCGGGAGGTCAGAGGTTAGAAGTCACAGACTTGGGGGACAGGAGGGGCATTGGAGGGAGCCTGCCCCTCCCTGGTGAAGCTCCAGCAGATGTGGCATCTCTCCTCTTCCCTCCTTCCCCGGGGTAGGCCCTGCTGGCACTCACTCTCAGGGCGCAGTGGATTCCACCTGGATCCAGGTCCCCCAACTCCTGGCAGCTCCTTCAATCCACTGACTGTCCAGGATCAGTCAATGGTCATGACTGTCGAGGGGGCCTCGCTTCCCATGGGCACCAGGTGGCTTCACCCCACTACCTCACTCACGCCCAGGGAGAGCGCTATAGACTGAACTTTGTCCCCCTAAATGTGATGGTTGAAGTTCTAATCCCTTATGGGATGACATTTGGGAGGTAATTAGGTTCAGATGAGGTCATGAGAGTGGAGCCCCCACGACAGGGTTGGTGCCCTTAAAATAAAGACATTTGGAGAATGCTAAGCGTTCTCTCTCTCTCCCTGCCCCCTCTCCCTCCTTCTGCCACGTGAGGATATAATGAGAAGTCCACAGTCTGAGAGCCGGGAGGAGGGCCCTCTCTCTAGAACTGGGCCATGCTGGTACCGGATCTAGGACTTCCCACCTCCAGAACGCTGAGAAAATAAACGTCTGTTGCTTAAGCCTCCTAGGCTGGGGTATTTTCTTATGGTGGCCAAGCTAAAGAGACAGTCATAGAGGGAAAACTGGCCGCCTCCCTCCTCTCCTTCCTGCACCCTCCCAAGTCACCTCTGCAGAAGCTGCCAGTATCACTGGAGACATTTGTCTGGCCAGAGACCAAAGGACCAGATTGACTTAACTTCACCTACCCCATTTTCCCATTTCCCGACAAGGACGTGTTTTCGCCCAGGGATTGCCCAGGCCTGGGATGATCCCCTTGGCTCTTCAGAGGGAGAGATTGGGGGGTGGCACATCGAGCTCTCGTATCTCTGCTGGGAGACCTCTGTACCCCACAGCCTGTGTGGTCCAGTCTCTATGTCCTTGTTCCTGACAGAGAGCACTCGGTTTCCTGCCTGTCACAACCCCTTCCTTCCCCAAGTTTTCACGGCATCCTAAAATGCCTCTTCTGCTGAGACATTTTCTGGGAGAAGATGCGGTGAGAAACTCTGGGTCCTGAAGCACAATTTCAACAAGTTTGCCTCTGTCCTTCCCTTGTTAATGAGTAAATGAAGAGACCTTAGATCCTATATGAGAAAGAAAAATAAGGATACTTGCAATTTCCCCACCCAGAGAGAACTGGAGAGAATTCAGGGTCGACAGGCAACAGGTGAGATGTTCTTATGGGGCAGTGCCCAGTGGGAGGGTCTCACCGCAGCGGTGGACCTTACTGTGGTGGGGCAGAGCATCGAGATCAACTCCAGCTCCGCCACTCCAGAGCTGTGTGACTGTGGGCAAATTCACTGACCTTTCTGAGCTACAGGCATGCACGGGCACCTCACCAGAGGGGTGTTAAAGGGACTGCAGGCACTGATGTGAGCAAAGCCGGGAGACTCGGGAAGGAAGCTCTGTGACAGCCAGTTTTGTGTTAACTTTGTTTTGTTTAATCACAATTTATGGGAGAGGCTGAGCTTAACTAACAGCTAATGTGTTATCGAGCATTTACTGTGGGCTAGACATTGTACATGTGTCTCCTTTAGCCCTTAATATAGACCCAGGACTGACTTGTTATCCTCATTCAACAGACAGGGAAACTGAGGCCTAGAGGCATTAAATAGCTCCCCACCCACCCCACCCTCAGGTACCCTGAAGGGGGCAAGGTGCAAACCACAGCCCTCAGCCCCCAAGCTGCATTCTCCTCTTCCTTCACACCTCTCGGATTTCCACACGCTCCATACCGGGCAACACGAAGGTGCTGCGGGGCCACAAAGACGAACGAAGACAAGAGTTCTTGTCTTGGGGGCCTCACTGGGGAAGAGGCTGTGCACCCAGGACTGCATAGGGAGGTTGGGTAGGTACGTGGGCTGGGCCTCACCCCAGAAAACAAAACATGATCGTGACAATAAAATAGCCTGCGCTCCCGGGGCCTGTGCAGGTGACACATTGCTTTCCTGTTGGATCCTCGCTACTGCCGATTAGAGGGCAAGAATTTTGATCGTCATTTTGCAGATGCAAACACGGAGGCTTCGGGCTCGAGCGGGCCTGGGTCACACAAGTGGAAGGGCTGGGGCTGAGATGGGCAGGCCTGGAGCTGTTTCTATGCTTTTCAAGATGCTTTTGCCACAAGTCCCTCCTCAGGACACCAGCTGAGACTGACCCAGCTCCCCCAAGGCCCAAAAGCATGATGCGGGTCTCCTATGCAGCCGCAGACCCATCTGGTCTCAGGGCAGTAACCAGAAGCTTAATCGATTCCGGGCCCTCCCTCCACAAAGGTCTGTGCGGAGCCCACCAGGAGCAGCGGCTGCTGCCAACTGACCCATCCCGACTTCTTGGGTTTCCCAGGTGTCCCAAACTCTCAGGGAACTTGGATCCAGCTCTGCAGATCTTCCTAAGAGTTTACGAGGCTTCCTCTCTTCCAAAGCTCAAGGGAATGACTTGGAAAAGGCCACTGACAGTGACCAGCTGGGACCAGAATAAAGGGTGACTGCTCCCCTCTGCCATCTCTCCATGTGGAAAGGAAGCTCTCTGGGAACGATGGGTCCCAGAAATGTGTGTGTGTGGCCTCATTTCCCATGCGAGGGGCTGGGCAGTCCCCACGGGCAGCGACTGGAGTGAGGGGCCCTGACCTCCACGGCCATCCAGTCACCTTGCCTCCACGGCACTAAATCACCAACTGCAGCCCCCCACCAGAGGTCAAGGACCTGAATGAAATCTGGCCCAGCATCAAAAGCAATAGCTGTGGTGTCACCTGCCAAAGAGATCTCAGAGAGGCCGATTTTTATGTGCTGTATCTTTATAAAAAGACCCCAATTCCAGGCAATAAACCTTAGACTTTTCTGATGCGAACGTCCATGGAAAGAAGGAAGGAAAGTTTGAGCTGAAAAACAGATCTTACAGCAACTCCTGCAAGCGGAAGAGGAAAGCTGCTTTTCAGAGCAAGCTGCGTTGAACACAGAGCCAGCTGCCCCACAGGGTGTGAGCTGAGCACACCTGCCCAGTACTGCAGTCCAGAAAGTTATACCTTCTAGCTCTGGAGCTGCCTCTTGATGGATCCAGGACAGCCAATACACACAGAACCAGGGGACTGAAAAACCTAAGAAGTTTCCTGAGCTTCCATTTCTACTCCAGCCACTGAGTGTGTCCTTGGGCAGGGGCCACCCTCCGGCCCCTTGGTAAGCCTTGCAACCTGGGGTTCGACCTCAGAGACACAGACACAGAGCTTTATGCCCCTTAGAAGCATATTATGGGGTATTATGTGCACTGCATGTCTTGTTTTGACCCAGGTCTCTTGAGGCCTTGAATTTTCCTGATTAGCTATAGTGGGGCAAAAAGGAGAATCCAGAAGTGTGCAAAGACAGTGCTCTGGCCCTGTCCAGATCCAACAACAGAAATCCCCTAAACTTGTCCCGGAGCCCCATGGGGTGAGGGACTCAGCTTAAGCGGTGATGCCCAGGCAATGCCTACAAGACAGAGTGGCTCCCAGACCCGATGGGGGCGGGGTGGGCCCTTGGTGCTCAGCTTGGGACCCCTGGCAACCATCTGACCCATTTGCTCCTGACTCGAGCAATCCAGGCCAGAGCTCATGGCTTCTCCGTGCAATCAAATTTATCAAAGAGCCCCAACAATCACTTTGTGACCAAAAACAATGGTCACTTTTCAAGGCACACCACGGAATTTTAGAACCTGGGAGCCTGGGGATGTCACAGGTCACCAGTTTATGCAGCAGGACATCTCCCTGCAGCACTCCTGCCGGGGCAGGGCTGGCCCCTCCTGCTCTGGACAGCTCCAGCTGTGGATGCACTGCGGCATCCCAGGACTTCCCCTGGCCCTTGTCTAGAGTCACATAGGAAAGGCTGAAGTAGGGCGGCTTTGTGATTGTCGAGGATGGCCCCTCAGCTTCCCTGCGCCACCTTCTTGGTCTCTCCAGCTGCTCCTCTCTTTGGCTGTCACTGGACTGTCAGTGTCACCCATCTGCCCTTGCACAGCTGATATTCCTCTAGGAGGTGGCCGCTGAGCGGCCTCTTCCCCACTTGCATGTCAGTCTTCTGAGGGTTGGGGACCCCCATCTTCGTCCTGGCGTCCATACTCCATACCCAAAGCCTATCAGGAGATTTACTTATTTTTTGACATAGAGTCACTCTGTCGCCCAGGCTGGTATGCAGTGGCGCGACCTTGGCTCACACAACCTCCACCTCCCAGGTTCAAGCAATTCTCCTGCCTCAGCCTCCTGAGTAGCTGGGATTACAGGCACCCGCCAGCATGCCCAGCTAATTTTTATTTCAGTAGAGATGGGGTTTCGATGTTGCCCAGGCTCGGCCACGAACTCCTGAGCTCAGGTGATCCACCTGCCTCGGCCTCCCAAAGTGCTGGGATTACCGGCATGAGCCACCACGCCTGGCCCCTATCAGAGATGTGATGCTGTTTTAAACCTCCCACCCAGGACCCTGTGCCCGGGAGATGCACTTGCCCCACAACTCACATAAATGTATGTAGGTGACATTTCACTCTTTTGGGGAGGGGGGCTCCAGACTGCCTTCCTCATGGACTGAGATAAGGTAGAGAGAAAGAAAACTCACAGCCACACAGCACGTCTGACTTAGTTCTTTTCCTTTTAATAGCAACCTAGCACCTCTGAGAATCAGAAAGATAGGGGAGGGCGCTTGGAGCACCAGCTGCACCAACGCTGGCAGGATGAAAATATTTATGCACCAATGAAGCACTAGCTGCTTTCAGAGACCTCCTTTGAACTGTTAATCAAGCCCAATCTTTCAGAATAATAGCCTGATTATTACCGCCCTGTTTGCATAACAACGAAGCCCAATAAGACTTATTTTGCAGTGCACGAGGGGGTGTGAAGGATCGACCCTGAGAAAGGAGTCCTAGGAATGCAGTGAGCTGCTGCAGAGCCTGAACCCAGGAATAAAGACAATGCAATTTGCCACCAAGAAAAGCTCAACAGACCAATAAATTACCCGCGTGCAAAGGGATTAGATCAGGTTTCAGTTACTGTGTAGGAGGGGTGGGGTGAGCCGGAGAGGGAAAAGACCTGCCCTCTCTTAAAGGGGTAAGGCTCATTTTGAGTGCAAGCCCCAGGGTCAAGCTGTTTTTGTCCAACTCTGTGGCCTGCGTGGGAACTGCCTGAGTTCAATTACTTGCTCCAAGTTCTGGACCCTTCTATGTGCCGGGCACTGTGATTAATGCTGTTTCTGGAACAAACCCCAGTTAATCTCTGCGCTCAGGTATGGTCAATCACATAAACTTCTAGAATACAAAGCAAACATGTTTCATCTCAACACTTAACAGCAACAAAGGTTTAAGAATGGAAGTACGAGAAGGTATCAGGGAAGTAGCATTTCAATGAGGTCCTGAATTTGACGGGTGATGAAGGGCAAAGATCTGACGACAGGGACCTCCAGAACAACTGAGCTTGGCAGGAGGCGACATGCTGGCTGGTCAGAGTGTAGCCAGGAGTTTGGGGCCAGACACGGAAACCTAGAGTGCCACCTGTGCCCATTAGGAAGCAAATGTCGCTCAGCTTCAAACCACTTTGCTCTCTGGTGCAGGGATTCTGCAAACCCCATCTCTTTCGTCACTGGGTTCCCTGTTAAATTTCCCCACAAGGGGACACTAGATGGAGAAGGGAAGGTGGGAGGCAGGAGACAGGTTTACCTGCCGTCCCCAAGGCTGCTTCTCCCACCACTTACCAGCAGCAGCGGCCCTTCTTCCCCATCAGAGTCCCGGGCCCTCCTCCAAACCTGCCTTCCTTCTGTCCCTCTGGCTGCAGGGGTGGAAGCTGCTTCTGCCACTCTGTGTCCCAGCGGTCCCTCTTTGCCCTTTCAGTCTTCCCATGCCCATAACAATGCCCTACACGAAGTCCCCTCTGCGGAAACATCCCGGGTGGGTTTTGCTTTTCTGATTGGACCCTGGCACACCAGCCTAAGGATTTCTGCTTTTTTCCAATAGATGGCAGGGAGCCCCTGAAGCATTTTCAGTGAGCACCCAGGGCGTGATCAGAACACTATTTTAGGAAGCAGTGTAACTGAAGAGGCGATGGCTTCAATTAGGATGGAGGCAGGCGGAGGGAAGGGAGGGAGAGCAGCTTAAAAAAGAAATCACTGCCAGCGCCTGTGGAGACACTAGCCTTGAAGCCTCAGACCTCCCATGTCCCTTTCCTCACTGTCCACCTAGCCTGAGCGGCAGATGCTGAGATGCCCTCCTTAGCCACATGGTATGTCCCCCGTTCAAAGGAGGTGGAGGAGGGAGCACTGAGCCAGGGGGCTGGCCGGCTCACACCCAGTGAGACTCACGCTGCCACCCCTCCCCACCCTCTCCTGTCCTTTGTGCCTCAGTGCTGGATCTCACAGGGGACAGGAACAGACGCACCACCCATATGTGGCAAACTCTGGCCAGAGCAGTATTCGGGAGTCTCTGAGTTGAGATGCCTGAGGCTGCCTGTTTGTGTCACTCCTGCAGGAATTTCACTCTGTCATCCTGGTGTAAACATCCAGGTGTTTGGCATCAGATACCGAAAGGAACACACCCAGGTGAGCGCGGGATTTTTCACCAGGTGCAGCAGACCCTACCTTTAACCTACAAGCAGCCAGAATGTGTCACCTTTTCTAAAATGCATTCCTCCCTGAGTCTAGCCCAAGAATGTTCCAAGGAACCTGTGACTCCAATGTGGCTCCCACCCTTTGAATCCACTGGAAATTTTCTAGGAGGTTTTCTCTAGAAACCAGCCACAGGAGAAAGAGGGAGCTTCTCAGGGAACCTCAGTTGACTGTGGAGGTGGGGGTCAGTTGGGGTGCTGGGGTTGTGGAGGGGTAACTCACAGCCACGTGAGCATGGGCAAAAGTGGCCGAATGCCACTCACGGAGCTCAGGCAGGAGGTACTGCCCGTGTCACAGCCAGCCAGGGCTGCTTTGCCCCAGCCTCACTCATACCAAGTGGCTACACGAAACCACACCGTGTGCCAAGGGAAAGGGCACACCTCAGCTTTCCACACTACCCTCCCATCCCCCAGTTCCTCCTGGGGCCATGTGGAGGCAGACCACGGGCAAGTAGGATGGTGTGAGAGTGTGGTGTTCACCCTCTGGCCAAGGCCACAAGCAGCTTCAGTGGGGGGGCTGATAGCTTCTCTAGGCAAGAGGAGCCCTAGGCTGGCAAGGGCTGGACACAGGATTCCACGCCGGCACCATCCTGTCTCAGGGCAGAGTTAGATAAGCTACTCCGAGTTCCACAAGATAGGTGATTATAGGCAGACATAACTTTCCAGATGTAAACGATGCTTGCAGGTGAGCACTTTGGTCCTCCAGCTTTGAGGCATACCTCCTTCTCCTGAGTCTAGGGCTGGCGCTGCCTCTAGTGACCCTGGGCTCCTCCGCCTAGCCTGCGGGTCTAAATGCCTTTGAAGTGGCTTTTCTCCCTCAATGCTGCCGGCAGGCAGGCCTTCCTCCTTCACCTTCTGCGTGTGGGGGAAGAACAAATGCAAGCCAGCCAGGCTCCTGCCCAGCCTGCGCACACGCGTGTGTGGGTCTGTGTTCATGTGGCATTTCTTAGCACAGGGAGCAACTGGGCTTCCTTCTGCGGGGACCTAGGTGCGGAGGCATCACTGTAATCGGGTATTCTGCCGGCTGGAGTGAAATGGTGCATGAAATGAATCCATAAGCAAAACCCAACAGACATAAATCTGACTTGGGAACATGTGCACAATGACAGCTTTGCCAGCTTGTCTTCCTGTGGCTGGGTGGCATCGTCCTCTTTAGAATGCTATGCCATGGTGAGCAAGAGGCAGAGGGCCTTTGGGAGGAGGCAAAAATGCTAGATCCTTGGAAAATGCATATCCTCATCATATCCCCAAAGTCTATTTCTTGTTCCGCATCTCAAGCCTTCTATACCACACAGTACAGAGTCCAATATACCACATGGTAATTTTTTTTTTTTTTTTAGATGGAGTCTTGCTCTGTTGCCCAGACTGGAGTGCAGCAGTGGGATCTCGGCTCACTGCAACCTCCGCATCCCAGGTTCAAGCAATTCTTCTGCCTCAGCCTCCTGAGTAGCTGGGATTACAGGCACATGCCACAATGCCCAGCTAATTTTTTTGTATTTTTTTTCCAAGACCACAGGAAAGCCTGTTTTTGTTTTCACTGGAGGTTCAGGTGGCACATGACAGATGATAAAATGGCTTCAGAGGTTGGGGGCCGGGAGAAAACAAAAATAAACTTGGGGGGCAAAGAAAAACAACCAGGAGGAGGTTGAGAGCTGGCTGGTTCCTTCTCAGCCTGAGTTAGGGGAGGGGGTTGGTGTCTCTGAACAGTAAGCTCCCTTCCTTCAACCCTTGATAAGGGAAGAAAAAAAAAAAAAAGCAAAAGGCTGTTGCTTTGGCCCTCCTGAGTCTCAAAGAAAAGATGAAAAGCTGGTATTTTGATGCCATGAATTATGGGAAACGGGGAACAGGGTACTGGGTAGGGTACAGGTCAGTTGGAAAAACTGGCAGATAGCAGATGGCAGCTCTGGGTGTCCTTTGAGTTGGAATCACTCCAGGATGGTGGTGGCGGGGTCCCCACTGTTGATAGGGGCTGAGGTCTCAGGGGCTGCGGGCTGCCGGGGGCCGGGGCCTGCTGCCCTCTCTGCTGGAAGTAGGGGTGGTTTCGTGGGCCCTGGGGCTCAGGCCGGGGACCATCAGCGGGACCGTGGCTGGGCTTGGTCTCACCGTCCCCACCTTCCGTGGTAGGCTGGCTGGGGTGGTCTGGGCCAGAATTGAGGTAGGGGAACCCGCTCACCTCCCTGCTGTTGCTGCCCCTCCAATGGGGCTCTTTGGGCTCTACCCCGTCAGTGCTCTCTGTAGGCTGTTGCTGGCTGGGGGGCCGAGGGACTCGCACAAACCACCGTCGGTAGAAGAAGGGTGGGGGGCGCCGTCGTCTGGGCCGCTGCGCGGAGTCTTTGGCCCGTTCCCCTTCTCTGCCAGGTTCTGTCCCCGCTGAAGGGATCTCTGCCACCATGGGTGGTGGGGCAACTGAGGGAGGCCGGGGGATGAATCGGCGAAACTTACGTAGGTTGGGGGCATAACAGCTGCCCTTCACGGGCACCTCCCCGGGCCCAGTTACATTAGCGGCTTCTGCACCCTTCTCTCCTTCCACGACATCAAATTCCACAGTCTCCTCATCTCCAACGCTGCGCAGAAACTTCCTGGGCTTCTTTTAATAGCTGTCTGGTGAACAAAGACATCTTCCTTGGCGTCATTCCTGTGGATGAATCCGTAACCATTCCGGACGTTGAACCATTTGACAGTGCCCAGGACTCGGAGTGCCAGCAGCACCAGCTTGTTCGCGTGACTCCAGGTGGGGGAAACGGGGGGCGGGGGTTTCCAAGGCCGCCGTCGTTGCCAGGGCTGCCGCCGGGTTGCCACGGGTGCGGGGGCCAGGCACCAAGGGGGTCCCATCCCAGCAGCGGGGCCCGAGGCGACTCCGCCCCTGCCACCGCCCTCCCCGCCACCTGCTTTCTGGGGCTTCCCTGCGGGCACTGGTACCACCACCGCTACCACCCCGGGCATCGTCGCCGTGGGGACTGCCGTCACCACCGCCGCCGCCTCCACCTCGCTCATCCTGCCGGGTCCAGTACCGGCCCCCGCCGCCGCCCGGTTTTTTATATTTTTGGTAGAGACAGGTTGGCCAGGCTGGTCTTAAACTCCTGACCTCAAGTGATCCACCCGCCTCGGCCTCCCAAAGTGCTGGGATTACAGGTGTGAGCCACCGAGCCTGGCACCACATGGCATATTTAATGACATATTTATCCAAAATCTGTGCATGGGCTCAGGGCAGGAGTCTGGGTTCTACTTCTGGCTCTGCCATGCAACTGGCTATGTGTGCAATGTCGGGAAAACCTCTCTGACCCTGTGTTTCCTCATCAGTGAAATGGGAATGATGATCCTCACGGGAATGGCCTTAAGGCATTTGGCAGAATGCCTGCTACACTGTGGCCACTCAACCAAAAGAGCTTTAAAAATTATTACTCTCCTTCAAATGATCCTACTTTGGAGAGAAGGATATAAAGGTATTATATCTTGAAAGATGTTTGTGAAATGTTCATTTAGTGATGGTTGTCTGTGGGAGGTTGGATTTTGGGTTATTTTTATTTTATTACTTATCCCTTTCAGCTTTCAGAGTTAAAAATGAGTACTGTTTTTATAACCAGAAAAAATTATTTTGGAAAAAAACTTGAGTATCTGGAAAAAAGAAAAAAAAATCCTGTGGTCTTTGCCCATTGAGCAAAACCCAAAACAAACAGAAACACACACAAAAACCCAAGGGCCCTGTAGTTCCCAGGACTATGTGGGTGTGCTTGGGGTGGGTGGAGAAAAGAAGGGCATATAGAAACAGAAATGAGGTTCCTGCTTTTATAAACAGAACTGGTGCTTTACAAGAGGACAAAAACGTAAGGCCCATGAGGCACCAAGCCCAGCAGGTGGCTCAGTTGTCAGCAACCAAGGTAACAGGTGTCCCCGGCGTCGGGGGGGTCTGCACTGGACCCCTGTAGACGGCACTGAGCTTGGAGTGGTGAAACTGGGCAGTGTCCAGAGCAATGCCTTAGAGTGGCCAGGTGGGGTGTGGTGGGGTGGTATATGGGGAGGCAAGCAGGGAGCAAAGGGGTGACCCAGGGCTTGGGGATGTGCTGGAAGCCTTGGAAATGAGCTTGGGAAAAGTCGGGGGCCGGGAGTTAGAGACCCTCCCTTCTGATGCTCCAAAGCAGGCCATGAGCAGCCATGAGCTCCTGGGCAGGAGTTTCAGAGTGATTCATTTGGCACCATGGCGAGGATCGGGGGAGGCAGGCAGGTCCTAAGCCTGTCTGCTGTTGCAATGGCAGCAAGGTGACAGAGGGAACAGGCAGGACCAGGAGGAGGAAGGACCCATGGCCCCAGGTGATTAGACCACATGGAGGGGCCCACTTCACACCCAGGACTTCACAGATCTGGACAGGGGAGTCCCTAACAGATACAGGCTAGGCATGAGTCCAGGGGACAGGAGAGGATAAAACTAGGGTTTTAATCTAACTGTCCTGGTGTGCCAGGGACTGAGGATAGTTCTCAGGACATATAGATTCCAGTTTTAAAACTAGGAAAGTCCTGGGCAAACTGGGATAAGTTGGCTACCTTCAAAGAAATACTGTCTTCAATTTAAGGCTGGTTGAATTTTTGCCAAGCAGCAAAACAGCATGGCCCCTAACTGCTACTCAACCAAAACCTAAAGTTGGGGTTCTCTGCCCAGTTCTAGGCCTCGCACATTTCACCAAAGACAAGATCTCTAGCAGGAACGACACTCTCCCCAACATGTAAACTGGTCCCCACCTTCAGCCTCTTATCTTCCAAGGCCTCCTCTTCTCCATCTCATAGAGTGGCCTTATCTGTGCCCACAGATCACCTCTCCCCAGCTCCCATCCTCTGAGCGCTGGAGTGACTACTAGCCATTTCTCCAACCTTGCAAAGACCTTTCCCTTCCTCAGATCACAAGACTAGAGATCCTTTCCCTTTCTCCTCAATACACCCTCAGGGCCTAGTGGCTGGCCATCTGTAGAGTTTTATGTGCGTGCTCTCCCTGGGAGCCAATGCGCTGCTCTGCAGGTGCCGTCACACACTGGTTGCTAGCTGGCTGGTTCTTGCCACTGAACATCAACTCCGAATTCACCTTTTAAAGCCTAACCCCAAAGTGATGGTATGAGAAGTAGGAGGGATCTGGGAAGTGATTAGGTCATCAGGGTGGAGGTTTCAAGAATGGGATTAGTGCTCTTATAAAAGGGACCCCACAGAGTGCCCTCACTTCTGCCCTGTGAGGACAGAGCTGTAAGGCACCATCTACAAACCAGACATCAAATCTGCCAGCACCTATCACTCTTGGACTTTTCAGCCTTCAGAACTGTGAGCAATAAATGTCTGTCATGTATAAGCCACCCACTTATGGTATTTTGTTACAGCAGCCCAAACAAACTAAGACACTCTCCCCTTGGGACACAAAGTCCTACTGGGAGAGCAATAGTGTGGTAAGCAGGCTGATCTGCTGATGCATTTTTTTTTTGTTTGTTTTTTGAGACGGAGTTTCATTCTGTCACCCAGGCTGGAGTACAGTGGTGCGATCTCAGCTCACTGCAACCTCCACCTCCCGGGTTCGGGCGATTCTCCTGCCTCAGCCTCCCGAGTAGCTGGGATTATAGGCTCATGCCACCACGCCCAGCTAATTTTTGTATTTTCAGTAGAAACGGGGTTTCGCTATGTTGGTCAGGCTGGTCTCGAACTCCTGGCCTCAAGCAATCCACCCACCTCGGCCTCTCAAAGTGCTGGGGTTACGGGCGTGAGCCACCGCGCCTGGCCGATGCATTTTTGAATAGCAGCTCTGATAGAAACAGTCTCATTTCTATAGCGACACAGATGTACCTGGACACTGCAGAGGGCCTTGGTCTCCCGAAACCTTAGTTACCCACTGAGGACTAACATTTCTAAAACAGCTGCAGTTCAAAGTATAAGGGGAAGAAAGAAGGAACAAAGAAAGTCTGGAGTGCAATAGTTCTTAGAACAGCGATCCTCAAACTTGAGCATGCATCAGAGCTCTCTGGAGGGCCTGCTCTAGAACACAGACTGCAGGGCCCCAGCTCCAGAGTAACTGCTTCTATAGGTCTGTGGTGGGCCTAGAACTTGCATTTCTAACCAGTTCCCAAGGAAGGCTAATGCTGCTGGTCCAGGGACCACACTTGGAGAACCACTGTGCTGAAGTACAGGACCCACACATAGTGAACAGGAAGCCTGGTGACATGTCCGAAACATATGCCTGGATGGATTTCTCTTGGAACTCTTTTCGAAAAAGTCACAATGGCTTCAAAGTTTAAAAAGCCATCTATTAGCTGTGATTTGAGTAGGATGCCATTTGTGGAATGCTCTTTTAAGAGTCCTTTCTGGCCTCCCTTCCTAGGTAGACGTGGACACTGTCTGCCTGTGCTGTCCCCAAAGAATCATCTAAACAGACACCCTTCCAGACCGCTTGACAGTGCAGGGGCCCTTTCTCATCACCAGGCTGTGGTCTGCCTGAGGGGCTTGGTTAGAAGGCTCCAAAAGTTGTCACTGAGTCAGGAACCCAGTAGGTTGGCCATCCACATGGAGTAAGTAAATGCAAACACTCGAAACACACAAACGCTCTCAGTGTAGCTGAGGTGAAGGCATCTTTCTCCACATAACTATGTTCGATTTAATTTGCACTCCTATAGGCTTACTCCTGGCAGCCATTCAAGCTGACTAGCACAGAACAAACCGAGGCTTTCACGCAGTTGCTCGGCCAGTTTCCACCTGTCTTCAACGGGAGAGGCCAAGGCACACAGGGGCCCCCAGTGTGTCTGGGTGCCTTCCACTTGCTGGGGCTTTATTTCTCGATCTCCCGCCTTGCTCTCCATCAGACCTGCAAGTTTTCTAACTTCATTCCTAAGCGGCCCCTCTCCTGGTCAATGTGTCAAAGAATGGGACAGTCTCTCTCTGTTGTGGAAATTTCCCATTTCATCCCTTACTTAAGAAACTGTCTTTTGACCCACATTTCTAGAGCACACAAGTTTTGGAGCCCCCAGTATATTTAGTTTTGGGGTACTGGAAGCTCAGTTTTCAGTCAGGTGGGCAATTTTGACTAAACGCAGCTGTCAAGCCCTCAAATGAGAAGAAACATTAGCCAGCTGGCGTGACAGGAGAGCAGCTATCAGTTCCATCGGCCAGGTTTTAGTTACCGGCCTTGACGCCAAAAAGAAATGGGTTTCTTGGAAACAAAAGTGATGGAATTTGGGCTGTGACTTATATAACCTACCAGTGTTCCTCAGCCTATGGCGGGATGCTTTAAAATAAAAGTTTTTAGGATGGAGAAATAAATCGAGAAACAACAAAACCACCACCACTCAGGCCATGCAGCCTCCTACCTCTGGAAACTTCTGCCAGGCCTTCCTTTCCTCTCCAGCCCCAAAAGGTAACAAGTGCTGCAGCTTTAAGAGCGGGAAGGTGTTGTTTTAAGGGCCTCTAAGCCCCTCTTCTCAATTTCAGCTTTGAGCTGAGATCACATCCCCCACGGCAGCCAAGGGACAAAAGCCATTTATCAACCCATCTGATAAAACTTCCAATGGGCTTGATCTTTATCTAGACCAAACCAAGAACACAAATTGCAAACTCCTGCTTTTCCAAAACGTTGACTTCTTCTTAAATAGGGTGATTTTTATTTTAATTTTGAATTCTTGGGAGGAAACCAAATTGGGCTGTTCAACCAGACTCTTAAGTAGGTGGAGAAACTGCCTTTTAAATACACTGGGGGTGAGGAGAGGGCACCCTGCTGTTTGATCCCCTGCGGAGGTTTTGACATTCCAAGCTGAGTACTTTTTGGGGATACCAAGATCCCTCACCCGACATCTTGTCCTTGGCCAGGCCTCCCTATGGAACCTAGGTCTGGAGAGCAGGTTGCGGCTCTCTGCGACCCTTCTGGGGTGCGCAGTGGTTGAGTAAGCCGGACGCACAAGTCTGAGCTGGCGCTGGGGGCCAGGAGCAGGGCTGGGACTAGGGGGTAAACTGATCCCTCGCTCCCTACTGTTCACTGTCTGCGTGGTCCGCCCATTGGGAGCCCCAACTCACAGCCAGGCCGAGCCAGACCTGCCCAGTTTTGCCAGTTCCTTGAAACCCAGTTGGCGGAAGAGCAAATCAAAATAACCCAATCCGAGTCTAAACTCAAGTCCTTTCTTGCAAAGCTCAGTAGTGCGCGGGGGCTGCGGCTCTACGCCTGGCTGTGGTGCGAAACAAGATGAAATTTTTTCAAAAAGACACCTCTGAACCCCGCAAACACAATGGAAACGGCTGGGAGATCCCGCCTTGCGCCGGGGGGGCCATTTGGCCCGTGACATTGTGTTTATTTGTATTTTTAGCAAGAAAAAAAATGGGTATAAAGGGCTTAACTGGCGTTTTCTGGCTGTGAGCAGCATATGGCAAAAATGAAATAAAGTTTTATGAAACATCATAAAGAAAACAGGCCGGGGATTTAAGTTGCATGCCTCCCCCCTCCCCCCGAAAGGAAAAAAAGTAAAGAAACTGGAGCGTTTGGGAAGGAACAAATGCTTCTCTGTGGAGTTGGTCTCCCTTCCCCCAACAAAAACAAGAGGTCCGGGCTCGGAGGAATTTGAAAGCAGCGATCTGCCAAAAACATTGTGAAAAACTATGGGGGATTCATTGGAAACAGATGGGCTTTTTCAGCTTTAATTCTGAAATTCTCTCCTTTTCTGACACAATAAAAACAAACAGGGGGCGACGCAGAAAGTTATCAAACAGGAACACCAGCTCATTTGAGCCGAGTCCGTGGGTGTCCCCGCGTGGCCAAATGGGTGGAAACGAGACGAGGTCTCCGGGGAGGGGGCTGTCGGGAACTCGGCTGGGACCTCAGGGGCGACCCTGGCTCCACCCCTGGGCACCCGGCAGGTTTGCAAACTGCTGGGCGAGGAGCTGAAGAAAGTGTCCCCAGCACCGAGGGCGTGCCTCCCCTTCTCCCCCTCTTCCCGAGCCCCTAGGAGGCACGTTCCCAGCCACCCCCTTTCTCGGAAAAAGGGAAGGGAGTGAGGCACCCCGGCCCCTGCGCCCTCCCCACACGGCTCCATCTCACGGCAACTCGGGCAGGGTGCCCCTCTCCGGGTCCCCAAGGGCAGGCATCGCACCCACGACGGGGTGCGGGAGAAACAAAAGACCCGTGGAAATAGGAGGCGGGGTCCGGAGGAGGTCCGGAGAACTTGAGCCCGGACTCACTCGCGCACATCTGGCCCAGCATTGAGGGGCGGCCCAGGGACCCGGCCCCGCGCGCCCGGCCGGCAGTGCCTTACCTGCGGGGAAGCTGCAGAGAAGGAAGGCGAGGGTCGGCCAGAATCCCAGGGCTGAACGTCCTGCCCCTCTCCCCATACCCATCCATCCAGCTCGGCCTGTTACCACTAGCCTCTCCCTGGAAGAAGAGTTCAGAAAAAAAGAAGAAAATAAATCACGCTGCGAAGAAAGGGCAGCCTCGCTCCGCCGGCGGGAGCAGCGAGCCGGGAGGCTCCGTCCACCTCGGCCGCGGGCGCCCGGCGCGCTCCCCTTCCCGCGCCGCCCCCCGCGCGCCCCTCCCTCGCCATCCATCACTCGGTTCTCCGCCAATGTCGACGCGGCCCCGCGCCCCAGCCGCCTGCGCACCGCCCCCTCGCGCTCGGGTTTCAGCGAGGCCGGCGAGGTAGCCGGAGGCGGCCGGGCGGGGACCCAGGCTGCCCGGCCGCAGCGCTCGCCGTGAGGACCTCGGAAAACCACGGCCCTAGATCAGAGGGCGCGCCACGCTCCCCGACCCTCGCGCCATCTCCAGCCCGCGGCTGTCCTTGCAAACCAGGCCCAGCACCCTTGGGAGGCCGCAGGGCATGAGGCGGGGCAGGACGCCCCCTTAATCCCCTCCACGAATATCCAATCCAAGTAGAAAAACTGTCCTTGGAGGCAAATCCCAGCCCTACTTTCCAACCAGACTGCCGACCCCAAGCTTCCACCGACGCCCCCTGGCTCATCAGTCGCACTCAGACGCGACACCGGTGCAGGAGGCTGAAAAACCCACTTCCGAGTTGTCTAGGTCTGGGCAGGATGGCTCTCTGCATCTCAGCTACTAACGCACCTCGAGGTTCCCGCCCGTCGTGGCCCCAGGCCACCCATCCTGACTGGGTTTGGCCTGCCTCCAGCACCCCCTTCAAGCACCTCGCTGCTTCCTGAAGACTTGCCCCGGCTGCGCCCCCGTGCTGAGGGCCTGCGGGCCTAACCTTGCCACCTTGGCACAGCTGCCACTCCAGAGAGATGGCTATGCCGGTCCGCGTGGCGCGCAGGGCCGGATGGTTTGGCGCTCTCTGCGAGGCCCGCAAGGCTGCACTTGGGAGGGCTTCAGTATGGTGACCTTTCCTAACTCTGTCGCTTATTTTTCTGGGAAAGAAACATCTCCTTCCCAAGGTTCCCTGGGCCCTGCAGTTCTGCTGCCGTTGTGATATTTAAGGGACTGGTAACTTCCCCTGAGAGACATCTTTTGGATGAAACACAAATAGTCCTGAGCAAGTGTTCTTAGTCAAACCAACTCCTCCCGCCACCCTCCTCACCTCACTCCCAAGCCTGCCCATCTGGTTCTTTGGGGAAAAACACCTCTGGGTTTTTATCCAATTTGGAGGTTTCTCTTAAGCACTATCACAGTCCTTACCTGCTGCAAAGGCCACACAGGCTTGTGCAAGGCTGCAGGGCTGCAGCTGCATTTGGGGTTCCGGCTGCCAGGTCGGGAGTGTGGAGAGGAGCAAGTTTGAAGGGAGGGGAGAAGGCCCTATGGCTGTGAAGACACAACCCCAGCAGCAAGACTTATGAATCTGGCTTCCACAAAACAGGTACACAAGGGGACCATACCTCAGCCAGCTGTGCAACAGGGCAACACGAAGCTGCTCTTCCCTTAGGTGGAAATGCCAGACACAACTCTTCTTTACGAGGGGGTGTCACTGTGTTTCCCTGAAATATTGAGGTCTCAGATCGACAAGCTCTAAATATTTTTCCCCCAAACCAGGGTTCATTTCAGGACGGGTCTGCAAAATGCTACGGTTTTCCCAGTGAAAGCCCACCATCGAAAATGCTCTTCCTTTCAAGCTTGGCCAGTCCTGGGGCCCGACCCAACAATTTATTCTGCAGCATCACCGAACGGCAGCCCATTCCAGCGGCCACCGGGGCACGCTAAGCAGGCACTGTGCCAGGCTGCACAGAGGTGACCAAGTGGCCTTTCCACTAATTAACACCATTTGCTAGAGTCTGCCTTTCACGAGCTAGTTCTAGAGTCTCTCGCCAATGAGAAGGGATCACTGGCATTCCAAGTCACCTGGACAGTAATTAACCACCGTCACTGCTGCAGCATGTCCAGGTTGGAGACCAGGGCTCAGGATCCAGAGGAGGCCATGCAGCCCGCAGAAGCCCAGAAATCACGCCCTTCTGGGGCTGCCCTTGCCCAAGAATGGACTTTTCACAGCAGGACTTTTTTTTTTTTTTTCAATGAGAACAGAAAAAAGAAATCTTCAACTATGTTACAATTTAAAAGCAGGAAAAAAAAAAGGAGTTTCTCCCTCCCACGTCAGGAAATGTCATCCAATATTCTTAAAGAAAGGATAACTAAATAAAATACATGTGCAGCATATTCTGCAATTCCATTACATACAGTAGTTTTTTTTTCCAAAGCTATTTTAAGTATTGTTAATATAAAGCAGTTGCACAAAAAGCAAAGGTGCTTTGACAAACAGGTGTATGCACTGATTCCTTTTTAGGAACAGTATCTAAAAAGAACCCGTCGTCCACACTGCCCCAAAAAAGACAAAGATTCATACAGACACATTGGGATATATGTACAACATAATGAACCCCATCCTAAAGAAGCAACTGAGATAACCCCCAGAGAATACAGAATCAGAATTGTGAAAAATCATAGTGAAGTTTGCTTGCTGTAAAGCCTGAGAATTTTTTTTTTTTCAGTTGGTTCTTCTCGCAGCAGGACTTTTAACCTCTACATTTCAGTTTCTTCATCTGTAAGGATCGGGCTGATAATATTGTCACTCCAAGACTACAACTGAATAGAACTCGGAAGAGGCCCCAGGCCATGGGAGTTCCAGTGTCCCTGCCGGGAGACGGGTACTGGCTGCCTTTTTAGGAGGAGACCCCAGTCTTGCGACATGAGCAAATAATTTGGGAAAGGGGCACAAAAGGCTTTTTTTCCCCCCCTTTCTTGAGGAGAAATGTCTGAGGCTGAATTTGGACATCTTCAAAGTGGGGACTTGGCCATCACACAGTTTAGACTATCATGAGAAATCTAGCCCCAGCTAGAGCAGTATGGCGTTGTGTTGACCTTGAGGAATCTAGCTATACTGGCTAAACCAACCAACTTTTAAACAGCTCCCCAACTCTCTGCAGGAATAAAAAATTCCTAAAACGTTAGATTTGAGAACTCAGCACTCCGTTCGCCATAGAAACTCATTTAACTCAAAAGTGTAGTTGACTTCAAACAAACAGCCCCATAGAGTCTAACCAAGTATGTGGTGTCCCCTAGGCTACAGCTTAGACCTGGGGATAGAGACACTCTCATGCATGACTCTTGCCCCTTTTCTTCAGCACTGGCTGTGGAGGCCTCAATCCTGAGCATCCCCCTCCACCTTCTCTCCCTTTCCACTCTGGGGGTAGCTATTTGATGGGGGGAAAGGGGTCAAGGGGCTTCTGAAAGGAAGGGTTCTGCATACGGCTGAAGTCTTCTCAGGGGCAGTGATAGTCAGGGGTTCCAACTTTGCCTGCTTCTAGGTATGAACAGAGTGTTCTCAAATCTAGGGCCTGAGTCATCAGTCAACAAATATATATTCAGGACCTGCTGCAGGCTAGACCTTGGGGGATAAAGAAATAAGACAGTCCCTATTTCTGAATTGCTGGTAGAAACAGATAATAGAGAAAAATGAGTGCTAAAGGAGAGGTGAGGAGTGAATGACCTTTACCAAAAAAGGTGGTGTCTTTCAAAATAATGGCTAATATTTTGACGTATTTTTACATTGTGTCAGATGCCAGCTGAGTACTTTACATTTCTAGAAACTTTCAGCTAATGAAGATTCTATTACCATCCTCATTTTGCAGATGAAGAAACTGAGGCTGGGAACGCTTAAGTACGCACCCAATAAATGGCTAAAAAATGCCAAGCCAAGCTGGCCGAACCCCATGCTTGGCGTACTGTGTGTGCCATTCATTCCAATGGTGGTGAGCAAGTCCGCACCGGGCTTAAAGTCAAGGCGAGACAGATTACTTAACAATCACTTTCAATAAAGCATAACACAGACTCTGACAGGGGAGACACAGAACACAGGCGCCAGGGGGCTCCAGCCCAGCTTGGGGTGCAGGGAGGGGAAAGAAGCTTTCCCAGTGTAGGAGTATGCCAGGGGAAGTTGACGGGCAAGGGAGGGGATGGCAGGGAGAAAACTCCAGGCAGAAGGAACACCCAGCACGCCAGGAACAAAGTGTGCTTTACCTGAGGATCTGCAAAGGCTGAAGTGCGGCTGTAGAAGGAAGAGGTGAAGCTGGAGAAACAGAGCAAAGAGCTTGGGGGAGCCTGTGAAGCACCTGGGAGCCCAACCCAAAGCCTCAAGAAGGGGAGGGATTTATTCTTTTGGGAGACCACTGTGGGAGATGTAAAAAGATTAGAGTTGCCCAGGCCCTTCTCCAAAGCAGCTATATCTGAATCTCTGTGGGGTAGAGCCTGGGCATCAGCATTTTTAAGGAGCTCCCTTAGGCGATTCATGTCTAGGGGAATAGCTGGGTTTGTAAGTTCTATCAATCTCGGGCCCATGCCCTCCTTGCTGCTGGCAGGTGCACAGAAGACCCAGGTCTGTCAGTTTCTGCCCCTTGGGATTAAAGTCAAGCCAAGACAGATAACCTAACAATTACTTTCAATAAAATGGTGATTGCAAGTGACTCAAGCTGGACCAATCAGAATCTTTCTTGAGATTGTTGCTACAGAAGCTTCAGTTCTGGTCCGACTCCAACATAGGATCGGTTTAGGGCAGCAATCTTGTGCGAGGGTGAGTGTTTATGAGTGTTAGTAGTTGAGGCAGCATTTGAGGACGTGACATAGTGTGTGTGTGTGACAGCTGCCCTGTCGCCCAGGAGGCTGGAGCGCAATGGTGCGACCTCGGCTCACTGCAACCTCCGCCTCCTGGGTTCAAGCAATTCTTGTGTCTCAGCCTCCTGAGCTGCTGGGATTACAGGCACACGCCACCACACCCGGCTAATTTTTGTACTTTCAGTAGAGACAGGGTTTCACCATGTTAGCCAGGCTGGTCTCAAACTCCTGGGCTCAAGTGATCTGCCTGTCTCTGCCGCACAAAGTGCCGGGATTATAGGTATGAGCCGCTGTGCCCAGCTGACATCTTGTTTTTACTTAAGTTGTATTTTATCAGGTGAGCTTTTTGGGGAGTGATGAAGACTTTATTTAGGCTAAGCCTCCCCAAGCCACTCTTCAGCATATGACTCTCCTGCAGCTCTTCCTGAGCTCCTGTGAGCTACCCTAGTACCTCTTCCAGCTATGGAAGCTGAGAAAAATTCCTTATTTTGCTGAAACTAGCTTGATCTAGATTTCTCTAACAGATCCCTGTCTAATATGGAGGAAACGACCCAACACTGGTTCCAGGTATTTTTGCCAACCTCGCAAGCGTAGGGATATGTTACCAATGGCTCTTAATCCACCATTCACTTACTGACCAAGAATTTGACAACATTTCTTGAGTAACCACCCATTCCCCCATGTCCTGAAAAATGTTTGTCCAGACCATGTCTTGAGGAACTGAGTTGCTTCAATTTACAACTCAGAGTGTGAGAACGGATCCTTATTTTTAATTTATCCTTCAAATTCCTCTTTCAGACTTTAAGGGCCGTCCTGGGGTCTGGTCATCTCAGATTTGATGAATCAGTACTTGTTCTCTCTCTCCATAACCTTCAAGGTTTTATAGACTTTGATCATATCGCCTTTCTGGCTTCATCTTTCCACACTAAAACCCTTAAGGTACAAAGCAGCCCGGCCTCTTGCGAAGAACTTCAGGTGATGACATTGCTCACCTTCTGCAGTTCTGAGAGATTTTTCTCAAGGGGAAGAGAATACAACTGCCAGGTTTGGGTAGAGCCCAGGTAGAATACTATTTTTCGCTTGTTTTCCAATATCGTTTCTGACAGTATTTTAGCATTTTCTGAACACTTGGTCCTGAGTGGCCTGTAGCAAACAAACATTTTGCAAAGACCCCAAGGATCCTCCTTTGTGGCTATAAACAGACTGGACAAAGTCCATTTTCCTGTAATTTGGATTATGTTCTCATAAATGCATTAACAGACTTGCGCCTGCAAAAGCTTAATATGCATGTTCTTGCTAACTCCTAAGCTCATCCTGCAGTTAATCACCATTTGTTTGCCATCTCTGCATAGTCTTCATTTCATCCCAAAGCCTGGAACCATCTGAGCTTTCTCTTCTTCAGATAATCCATGTAAATTTAAACTAAGTCTGGATGCACCCACGTTCCTGGGGGATCCTCACTGTTAATAATTCTTCATCCAGAAAAGTACCTGTTTATCCTATTTTTTATTTCTTGTCTCTAAGGATAATTCTGATCCACGGCAATTTCCCCGCACATGCTGGAGAGACTTACTATTGTAAATGACCTTTGGGATGGAACTTTGTCAGAAGGAATTTTGAAAGTCTAAACAGAATTCATCC
This sequence comes from Homo sapiens, assembly GCF_000001405.40. NCBI lineage: Eukaryota > Metazoa > Chordata > Mammalia > Primates > Hominidae > Homo > Homo sapiens. The sequence goes on from NC_000015.10 coordinate 93,079,347, forward strand.
TGGGTTTCTCCCTCGTCTCCAGGCCTGTTTCTGACTCCTTAAAGAATGCTAATAGATTGGTTGGGTTTCATGTTCTTTTTAGAGAACACATTGTGCTTCGTTCAGCTAGTTAAGACTTTATAAAGTGTGCTTCATAATAATACTTTTTTAGTATATATTCTGCAAAAGTGGCTATTTAAAATGACCCTTCTGACCAGGTGCAGTGGCTCACACCTGTAATCCCGGCACTTTGGGAGGCCGAGGCGGGCCGATTACCTGAGGTCAGGAGTTTGAGACCAGCCTGGCCAATGTGGTGAAACCCCATTTTTACTAAAAATACAATAATTAGCCAGGCATGGCAGTGGGCACCTGTAACCCCAGCTACTTCGGAGGCTGAGGCAAGAGAATCACTTGAACCCAGTAGGCGGAGGTTGCAGTGAGCAGAGGTCCTGCCACTGCACTCCAGCATGGGCAACGGAGAGACTCTGTCTCAAAAAAAAAAGGACGCTTCTCAGGTAGGGTGGACTCCCCTTGTGGGCGGGAGGTACAGGGTGCATGCCTGTGGACACAGGTGCCACATGAAAGGACAGTTGTACATTTTGGCTACGAGGATGTTGCTGCCATCTTCATTATCTGAGGCTTCCTTTCTCTCTGTGTAAAGAATATCACCTGAGCTTTGATGCTCCTTCCCTCACCACCAGAGACTCTTATTCTTGGTAATTAAGACATAATTACCAAGAAGAAAAAACTACCAAAAATTTAAAAATTTTACCAAAATTAAAAGTTTTCATTTAAAAATTAAACTAAAATTTTTAATTAAAAAATTACCAAATATTGCCAAGTATTGGATTTTATTCCAAAATTTTAATGGGTTTTTAATTTTATTTTTTTGAGACAAAGTCTTGCTCTGTCGCCCAGGCTGGAGTAGCATGGCACAATCATGGCTCACTGCTGCCTCAACCTCCTGGGTTCAAGCGATCCTTCCTCCTCAGCCTCCCGAGTAGCTGGGACCACAGGTGCACACGCCACCACGCCTGGGTCATTCTTTGGTATTTTTTGTGGAGATGGGGTTTTTGGCACATTCACCCAAACTTACACTGCAGAAGGTAAGTAACCTGCTTGAGGTCACCCAGCAGGCTTGGTGACAGAGTGAGGTTTGGGCAGCTCTGGGTGACTCCCAGCTGCCAGGCCACCTCTGATGAGATCACAGCTGCTCCCCAGGCACGGGGCTTTTCGTTTTCTCTCTGCCTCTACTAACCCTACTCCATCCTCTTGCTCTGAACAGAAGCAACGACTCCCTCTGTGCTCCCTTTGACCTCTGCTGCCCCAGGCTCAGTTCAGGCTGGGCTGGGCTGGGGCCTTCCTGCTGGTTGGCCAGCAGTTTCCATGGCCACCCTTCCGTGGTATTTGGATGTATGACCCTCTTTCCTTCTTTCACACCTGTCCTTCTCGACTTCCCATATTCTCAGTAACCTCTTGGAGCAGCCGTGTTTCTTTTCTCCCTACTTCTCCCATTTCTTTTTACTGGGACTATAAACTGGGGTATAACTACACTTTCTTAATGAAAGTCTCCCCCCGACCACCGCTTTCTTCTTAAAACTCTTGTCTGAGACTTCCTATCACACCTACTATCTGGTCTCCAAGTTTGCAAATTCTTCTGCCTGCAAAACCCAGTACAAAAGCAATAGTATTTATGAATTGCTTAATTGTCAGTGTTGAGATGGAAAGCTTCAAGACACTGCCACTGAATATGGGGAAAGACAGAGACCTGGGATTTGGGGTGGTCCTAACTCCAGCTGTGTGGCACCACGCCCTGTCCTATCTTCAGCCCCTCAGCTTCTCAATCTGCAGAATCACAGCCTGGCTGCCCCAGGAGATCTCCAACCTCCAGAGTCCTGTTTCCAGGGATCCGGTGAATAGATACTGGCTCTGTAACTAACCAGCCTTGCCCACACCTGATTGTGGGGAGCCATTCTGAGGCCTCATCTGTAACACTTCTGCAGTCCCCAAGTTAAAATGTGGCCAAGCACGTAGGAAATGTCATTTGAAGAGTGACATTTCTTATGTTTTGATGTCACCATGAAATTCAGTAATAATGCCCAACAATACTATAGTATACCTGAAACCATACCTTAGAAACATTCAGCAACCGCCTGAAGTTTGAAAGCAGCTTTTGGGTATGCATACACAAGACACACCAGGTTCCCGTAAAAGAGAACAGACCACACAGCGCTTATGTCTCCCCATTCCGGTAAGTTCTTGGGAGAAGAACTGTCTTGGAACCATTTATCCACCAAATGGCAACTGTCTGAACCGACAGTGAGTCTGTCTCTCTCTCAACCAACAGAAGGCTGGAGTATTTGGATTAATGAATAATTTAGTGCCAAGCACAAATACCATAGACATTTAGCAATAAGAACAGATAACCAAGTTGTTCATCAAATTCAAAACTGTTTAGAATGGCTAAGCAAAGCTGAAATAGAGACAATCCCCAGCTGATGGGAGGTGGGGAAAAGTGCCAATCCAGAAAGAAGAACAAATGTGTCACCTTATGTGACATTCACTTCCACCATTGTTTTTCTTTCTTAAATTTGTCAAGGCTAAGGGAATTTCTTCACTTTTATATTACAGAGGCAATATAGCATGCTGGGCTAAGAACATGCAGTCCGAACACAGACTCTCTAGAGCTCAGTTATTTCATCCGTAAGATAGGGATATATTTGCAGATCTATCAAAAGATTGTTGTGAGGATTAAATGAGTCAATACAATCATAACCACTTAGAACAGATGCCTGGCATAGAGTAAGTCTTGATAAGTAGTTGCCAATATTCATTTTATATCATGGACAGGAACTATTGTTTGGACTACAATAGTGCCTACTATGTGCCAGATTCAGCTACAGCCTTTGTATGTACAGGATCTTGGGAGAGCTCTGCAGAGTTCTGCAAGGACTCACGGATAACCTTGACTTCTAGGTGGGTTTTAAGTTCATTTTCAGTTATACTTGAGGCCTGATGGGCACCTACTAGAAAAAACTCCCCCATGTAACCAGCGTCGTCATCTTAACTATGCCACGGGCACAGCCATTTCCATTTCACAAACGAGACAGACTCATTTCTAAGTCTTGTCTAAGGACCATAAATACAAGCAGCCGTGCAGAGGCTCAAACCCAGGTCTTGAGATGCCAAGTGCAGTGTTTTTCCCACCAAACTACAGCTGCTTCTCATCTTCACCCATGGTTTATTTATTTCTGTCAGTCCAATAATATGCCCCACATGTAGAATGACGGCTCATGCATTAGAAAGGGGAATATGTTTAGAGATATACTGTTTTCCAGACATTAACAAAAAATATAAAAACTTTTTAAGAAGAGAAAAATTTCCGTGAACAATCTCCCCCATCCATCCTAGAGACCAAAGAAATTGAAATAATTAGATTATGGAATTGTTTGTCTTTCTTTTGGATGGTAAGTGACATTCTGTAGATCACGTATTCATAGAGTACTTAGCCTTCGAATGTGAGTTAAATAGATTTACTTAAACAACAGGAAGATATTTAGGTAAACCTATCCACAGTATCAGTTCATTGGAGTTCTTTCAGTCCACAAGCCTCTCACAGCACATCTCAAGTTTTAAGCCAGATGGGCTTCAGCCTTTAGAGACTGGTCACTGACCCAGAAAGGGAGGGCCTGTGCGCCATCTTGGCTTGGGTTTGCCTTGCTCTTGTTGACTCCCGGCCGAGGCTCAGAGGGCCAGTATGTTCTCCACCAGGCCTGAAGTCAGGAGACCCTGCCAACAGCATCCATTTACTCATGAAGAAATCAGACACCTGGAGCTTAGGTATCTACTTGCTCAAAATGCTCCTTATCAGAGAAAAATAACAGCAATGTAAAACTCTCATAGCATGGAAGAAGGTGACATGTAGCTTTTTTTGTCATATGATCTTGGGATACCCAAAGACTCTACAAAACCAAAACCAAGTGTTTCAGGAAAGCAAGAGAAGCTTTTTTTATTTTTTTTGAGACAAAGTCTCACTCTATCATCCAGGCTGGAGTGTAATGGCATGATCATAGCTCACTGCAACCCCCGCTTCCAAGGTTCAAGCGATCTTCCCACCTCAGCCCCTCGAGCAGCTGGGACCACAGGTGCACACCACCATGCCCGGCTAATTTTTGTATTTTTTAGCAGAGACCGGGTTTCACCATGTTGGCCAGGCTGGTCTCGAACTCCTGAGATGAAGCAGTTAGCCAACCTCGGCCTCCCAAAGTGCTGGAATTATAAATGTGAGCCACCACGCCCAGCCAAGAGAAGCATTTTGAAATCAGTATTCTGAAATCTGAATGTCAGACTATTTTAGTTGCACTGACTGATATACAACAAAATAAATTAAACTCACAGGAGCCTCATGTTCAGAGGCAAAAATGACCTGCCCAAATTCAGCAGTGAGGGGTTATTAGCAGGGCTGGACCTGTGAGGGAATGCCATCATGAACTTCGTAACGTCTACAGGTGAGCCCAGCCTCTAAGCTTTGCTTCTCTTTTTGCTTTGCTTCTCTTTTTGCTTTGCTTCCCTTGTATCAATAAATGGGAGCCCACCTAGGAAAATGCAATTGCACAAAAGAATCTATTTATTATTTATACTTTACCTCTTTCCATAAAGGATATTAAACTAAAATGTAAATGAAAGCACATTAGACACCAAAACTTCCAAACAAATGTTAATTATTATTTTCAAGGTACTAATTATTTTGAGGAAACCCTGTAACTTTTTACGATTCTATGAATGAAATGGGCATTTTTGTGTGCTCTGACAACCAGAAAAAAACCTGCGTGGAAGAAGAGAGAGTTCCGTGGCTATGTTCCTGTAAGGGGAATCTATTCTTCAGGCTGCCACTGTCAGAGCTGAAAATGCACACTGGCAACACATTTCTAAGTCACTGAGAGGAACCCAGCATTTGCCCAGGAGACGTTTTTGAGCAAGCCTCTTTTGGATGAGCATTTGAACGGGCAGAATGGTATTCCGGCAAGGCATTCATCAGCAAGGTCTTCTATTCTTACAAGCTTATAAGTGGGTCAGACTTTGATGGAGAGAACCAAACTTTGTGAAAGCACCTCAAACGATCAGATGTCAAGGTTTTTTTGTTTTTTTGTTTTTTGTTTTTTTTTGAGATGGAGTCTGGCTGTGTTGCCCAGGCTGGAGTGCAGTGGTGTGATCTTGGTTCACGGCAACCTCCGCCTCCTGGGTTCAAGCGACTCTCCTCTCTCAGCCACCGGAGTAGCTGGGACTACAGTCATGTGCCGCCACACCCGGCCAGTTTTTACACTTCTAGTAGAGACGGCGTTTCACCATGTTGACCATGCTGGTCTCGAACCCCTGACCTCAAGTGATCTGCCCGCCTTGGCCTCCCAAAGTGCTGGGATTACAGGAGTGAACCACCGTGCCTGGCTATCTCAGGGTTTTTGAATAGACAATCTGGAGAGGAGAGACACATCATGGTGCAGATCAGTTGAGAAAAGTATAAAAGTCTAATAGGGGAGTGAATCCTAAAGAAGAGTATGCACTGTGGCTGACAATACTAGTAATGTGAGGGATGTGTAGGGGCCTTCAGGGGTAGGTATATGTACGTTGCATGCTTCCACCTAATCTTGTTTAAAGACATCAAGGAGAAAATTCTTCAAAATACCTACAAAGGATAAAAATGGGTTGCATCCATCTTCAAGAAGAAATGTACACTAAGAATAAAATAATGTTATCAAAACTCTTACTGAGAAATTAGGCAGAATATCTCTGTTTCACAAGGACAGAAGAATGGAATATTACCAGGAAACAGAGCAAACTGTTCCTGTCAGCCAGGGTGAGCTGCTCCAAAGACCCTGATCTTAAGAGTCCATGAAGATGAAAAAATGAAATATAAGGAGAAGCCACAACAGACGGTAACTACTAAAATGTCCTGCCAAGACAGAAGTCAATGAGTTTTGGGGCGTTTTTACTCATACCCGCTGATCTCTGTTTTGGCCCACAGAGGACACAGAACCTATGGGAATTGGCCTCCTTTGACCAGATAGTTGACAGAGTCTTTAAACCTTCTGCCTAATTTTCAGGCTCTGGGAAATCCAGTATTTTGCTTTCTGAAAGTTCTTCACCTCATAGCACTGCTTTAAACAAGCAACTGAAAAATGAGAAAAGTAAATCCAACCAGCAATTCTGTAGTCACTCTCTGCATAAACTGTTTGCTACACTTCCATTATTTACTGTGGTAATCTGGATATAATCATTTCGTAAGTTGGGTAGGTACATAGTACATTTTTATGTTAGTCAGTTACCAGTGACTTAAAACTTTTTATATGAGGTTATAAAAGACATTTGCATTTATTTTGTCAATTTCTGCCCTACTTTTAAAATTCCTTCTTCTTCCTGCCCTAAGAATTGTAAAGTTTCACACCTCACTAGGCATTCTTGCCTCCTGACCCCTGGGTTCTAACATGATACAGCACTTCTACTCACAGGACGGACCTGGCTAAGAAACTGGGTATCCTTTCAATAGAGTTCATTTGTTCATCTGTCACCAAGGAAACTGACTTCTGCCTGGCCTTGTATGCATACTTGGGTAAGGCAATCCTTAATTTTTTCCACTGCCCTATTCATTGCTCCTTTATAGCTCTGTTGCTAAGAGAAGAGAGGCTGAAACTGAGCAGTCATTTGCTCAAAATAAGAAAAAGAGGAGCCTGTCTTTTGGATAGGCTGGATACCAAACAGGTGGGGAAACCTGGAGCTTCCCTTCTTCAGGTTAAATTTATGTTCAGTTAAGTTTGTGGAATGGCTACATAATGGAAGCAAAGCCATTCCCTAAAAGAGCCACAGGAACACCACAGACACTTAAAAGTTAACTAAACTTACCTTTGGGATGTTATAAGTCAAGTTCTAGAATAATTACCTGTAAGGAGTAGTGTCATTTCGTTTCACAGAACTAACAGATTCCAATTTGCCTGCGCTGCTTTCAGATAATCCTTCTATGTTTTTGCTCAATTGCACTTGGATACTTCCTGCCTCTTTCCCTGGATGGCAGGCTTCTTGATGGATCGGTGACCGTGCCTTCTTTCATGTCTATACTGCATGCTTCAAGGCAGGAACAAATTTTGCAACCATACTTGGTAAAAACAAGCGCTAGAACTTAATTCATTTGGTAGCAAGGTTGTAGGGGGAAAAACGCACTTTAGACTCACAGAACACTGGCCATATCCCTTCTGCTTTCTGGCCATCAGTTTCTTCTGAGAAACTGAAAATACCAGCACCCATTCCTGCCTGCTTCCTGGGAGCAGCAAGCATCCCTGGAAGAATGGCTGAAAAACTCCCTGTCCCAGTGTCAGGGATGCTCAGTCCCTATTTATTTCATTTTGCAACTGCTCGTCTAAGAATTCTTGGGCTTGGCTTCTCACAGGGCTGCTGAAGAGCAAGGGATTGTATTAAAAAGGAGATTCTTGTGCCTTTATTGTCTATTATTACATACACTGGGAAGCAGCAAGTTATTCCTTGGAGGAGGTTTGTAAAAAGAGAAAGCAGGCAGAGGTTTCTTAGCAAAAGTCAAAGGTGCCCTCCTTGAATGAGATGCCAAGCTATTCTAAGACCTCGTCTGTCACAAGTCTCATGATGACATAAATACCTACCAATGGAGACACAGTTTGAGACAGCATGACGGGGCAGACCAGCCACCCACCATTTCATATGTCTATTGGAGAATGTAAGCAACTGTCTGACACCTGGGAGGGAAATAATGGAAGCAGGGTACTTGAAAAAAGGAGGCTAAGACCTCTTTCACTACCAGCACAGCCCAGAGAGTCTCAAGGGGGTACTACAGTAGACCACTACACTGCTCTACAAGGGGCCAGGGTGCCCTTCAGAACCGGGTGAGCCCAGCTCACTGCTAATATATTATCTGGCCTGGAAGGTGGCAGCAAAAACCAGCCACAGAGAACGTGGAGCCCGCCTGGATGTGTGGGTGCCCCACCCAGAGCCTTTGTCTGCAGAACTTGCCATCCAGCCACGTCTGCCCCAGTTGTTAATTGGAGATCATGTCCCTGTAAAGGGGGCTTGCTTGTCACTTGCTGTGGTAACAGCAAGAAACCCCTTCTTTGTATGTGCAAAAAAAAAAAAAAAAAAAACCACAAAACCCAGTTTGGGTACACTATTCTGTTCCTGCACAAATGGGCAGGAGGCCCTCTCCCAGTTCTCCTCCTGTTGCCCTTCGGAGCACAGTTACTCTCTTTTCTAGGGGTCATGGCTCAAAATCCACCCAAGAAATCACCCGTTTGTGATGCACAGGAGAAGACAGAGGTTTGTGCATTGGTTTTCAAGATCTCTGCACCAGATACCTGCGGAAGGGGCATCTTCTTACAGCAGTTAACATTTTATATTACGTTTTTGCTGGAAGAGTCTAAAACCAAACAGAGAAGGTGATGGAGCTCCTTTAGGTGACAGCATGCCACTCAACACGACCCGCAATTTCGTCCCCTGAGCTCAATGTGCTGAGCATGGGAGGTCGGGGTTCTCCCTGGTACCGTCGATACTCAGAGAGCTTCTGTAGCCTCCTTCCTGGAGGCGAGGGCTGGTTCCCGCCTCTCCACCTTGTGCGGGAGACTACTTTGAGAACACCCAACAACTTCGCAGCCTAAGAGGAATGCACAGCTCACCACTTCCGCTAGATGGCGCTACTTCCCCTACTCCGCCCGCGAGACACCCAATTTATAAAATAAATACAACCCAACACCTCCCAAAACCACACCACATAATAGCAGCTCACAGGCTCCCATTAGAAATCTCAATTTGGGAGAACTGATTCTACCTCCGAGCAAGTCTAATACAATTACATTAATAAGACGCAATCCCGAATTGCACCCGAGCGTCCCCCACACCCGCCCTCCCATTGAATACACCTGTCCCCCATGCCCGGGCTTGTACCCTGGGTTGAGCTGCGGCGCGAGCCGGCGCTGAATCGTCGCCGTGCCCTCCCGTCCACTTAGGAAAGCCGGGGCGGCTTGGCAATGGGCATCCTCGGCCCTCAATCCAAGGTCCGCACCTTCCCGTACGCCGGCGCGCCGAGGCAAAGGGCCGCCGGGACGCGAGCCCACGCGGTGCACTGCGCCGACATCCCCGAGGGCAGGAGATGGCCAGGCAGCTCCGCAGCCGGGCGTCGAGCGGGAGGCGGGGGCCCGGGCGGCGCGGGCCAATGGGGGTTCACGGCGGGACAGTCGGGTGGCCGGCTCCGTCCGGGGCTCCGCGAGCCGGGCTGAGGGAAGGAGCTCCCAGCCCGCACACGGTGTAAGGGACGTGTGCCGGGTCTGCCCAACCACGCGCGCTGGCGGCTGCCCGGGGGAGAGTATTTTAGGAAAAAAGAACAAACACCAAACCACAAAAACTTTCCTGCTGCCAACAGCTAAAGCGATAGAGGCGCAGCAAAGCTCCAAATGTGGGCAAGATGGGAGCAAGATGAGACGCGGGGCTAAGGAAGACCAAAGCAGCGCCGTGGCCCCGGCATGTGTCGGCGGCGCCTCGGAGATGTCAGAGCCGGGTCTGCCCGGCTCCCGACCCGCGCTTACCTTGGCGGCTGCATGAGCCCCTGCGGCCCGCGGGGGGTGGCGCTGGCGGGGCTGCGGGAGAAGAGGGGGTGTCGGGGCGCCGCTCGTCTGCCCCGGGGCAAGGTGGGAGGGGCTCCGCTGGCGCTGGTCCCCGCCGCCCCGGCCGGCTCAGCAGCGGCCCGGGGAGCGCCTCCTGCTCCCGGGCTGCATGCCTGCGAGCGCCTGGCGGAGCCGGCCCGGGAGCGAACGGCCAGTGCTTCCCCGGCCCAGCGGCTCGGGCGGCGCAGCCAGCGCTCGGGAGACAACTGCAGAGTGGGGCGGCCGGGACCAGCCCCCTCCCTCGCCCGGCCCCCGCCCGCCGCCGAGCGCGGCGTCGCGAGGTTCGTTTGCGCGCCGAGGGGAGGGGGCGGGCCGGGCGCCCGGGCCGCGGGCGGGGGGCGCGCGCGGGCGGGGCCGGCAGGGAGGGGCGGGGAGGAGCGGGGTGCGGGCTCGCGTTGCCCCGCCCCGCCGCGGCCCCACCCTCCCGCATCAGCACCGGCTGGGTGGGTGCGGAGTGCGCCAGCGGCCAAGTCAAGACTCCTTGAATGCTCAGGTTAGGGGGCGCGGGCGGCAAGTGCGGCGACTCCCCGGGGCGCCTCCAACTTTCCGAATCGCCCGCAGGGTTGCGGTGGAGCGCACGGTGTCCTTCAGTTAGGCGGTGGTCGAGGGGAGTTCCTCTGAGATTTCTGGAGAAGGCGGTTACATCCAAGACAAATGCTGTTGCGCTCTGCGGAGACGCACCTTTGTTCTATAGAGATTTTGTTGTTGTTTAAGAATCTTCCTGAAAAAACTAATACATATGTATTACATGCTAACACACGCATACATTCTTGCGTAGAATTGTACATAACTCAGGAGTGTCTAGAGTGAAAAGACCGTATCGCACTCCCTCCCACGGCCGCGGCTCTCCCACGGCCGCGGCTCCCCCGCGGTAACCTTCGGTCAGGGTGTGCTCTGCCGCGGTTCTTTCCAGTCTCTGCGCTTTTACATGCACACGCACAGATTGCGAGTGGAATCTCCTGGGCTTTTCAAAAGAATGTTTTCAACATTAAGCGCATGCACACAGTGGCTTGAACACGGCCACGTCGGGAGCAGTAAATCCCCAGAGGCTCCGGGAGCCCAGGGAAGGACCCTTGCTGTGAAACAGCAAAGAGCCACCCAATCGCCATGTGTGGATCTGAAACCCCAGCTGGAGCGTGAAGTCGGTCTGGTTACACAGCTCAGGCCCAAATTAGCACTGCACGGTTAGAGAGATTTGCCAGTACATTCTAGACAGGGTTATGACCTTCCCCTTCTTACAGAACAAACTGTCTTGAATTTTGATATGATGAGAACTCTGGATTTGCAAAATGAAAAGGTATCGTCCGCATTAAAACACGATCGTTATTTATGCGTGTGGTCTTCAGAGATGTGGTTTTAACTCAATATTCTCCGTTTTATTTGTCAAGTGTATTTGTATAATCTATAGCTGGGATATAAATAAAATTAAGTGGTTTAGCAGGAAGGGATTGGGGATGGGTTTCTAGAATTAGCTCTGACCTTCGGCAAGTCATCTAGCTCTGCTGGGCCTCAGTTTCCTCATCTATGAATAGTAGGGTGTGTGTGTGTGTGTGTGTGTGTGTGTGTGTGTGTGTGTGTGTGGTCTTCCTGCCCTGACATTCTGTGCCCTGACATTCAGTGAATAACCAATTTCTTCATCTTTCATAGCTCAGCTCCAACATCTTCCCCACCCTCTAGGGAGTCCTCACATCCGTGCCTTTCCTTCCTAACACTGAGCTCACTCGGTAATTAGGCGCTCATTAGAGTGACCTTTCCCTACATGTTGGCCTCTCCCACCGTACCATAAGCATCATGAGGGCAGGAACCAGGACTCCTTGGAGTCATCATTGCATTCCTAGCACTTAATATGGTGCCTGGCACACTACAAGAATCTCTGAATGACTGTCACGCAGATAGTAGATTTCTTACTGTTCTTCCAAATTGCCTGGCATTTTTAAAAGGTCTGTAAGTGGAAACGTGTCTTTTTAAAATGAGGCCTTTGGAAAGTAACCAGCAGGGTTTTCCCATGGTGGGGGACAAACAATCCACTGTCTAGATAAGGACAGACAATTCTCAGCTCAATCAAGGGCCGTGGAGGTAGCCGGTAACTATTTACCTTGATGAGTGCAGGCACCCGTGGAGAAGACAACGAATATTAATGCTACTCGTTAAGTACTTGGTTAAGTTAGAACCCTGCATAGGCAGTTGGAATACACAGAGTGCTCAGATTTAAATGAAGCCGTGAAGTGTGTTTAGGGTGCAAATTAAGAAATGGACATGCTTTCAACCAACAATCTAGAAACATTCCTAATATAAAGCTCCAGGGTATCCTTGGCTTTCTTTACTGCAAAGGGCCTGGATTCCTTAATATGAACAGGAAACAGGCTAACCTAGGTACAAGAGTTTAAAAAAAAGAAAAAAGGCCATTAAGAAACAAGGGGCGGGGTAAGTGAAAGTCTAAGTCAGTACAAGACTAATATCTATATTAGTTTCTTTTTTGTCTGATATGTAGATTTGCCGAGGGAGAGGTTAAAATCCGGCGTCACATTTATAGAGGAAAACTGGGGTTTCCACCCCTTCTTGGCCACTCTTCCTTTTCTTCCCTTTTGTGAGAGGGGATACATGCTTGCTGGGCGGTCGCCAGATCCACCTGGATGCCACCTGGTGTGAGAAAGCTCTCCTGGGATGCACCACACCCGGCGCAGGGAAAGCCTGTGCTACTGGGGTGCGGAGCAATTTGCTGTCTCTCTGTTGCCAGTGAGGGGTGGTGCCTACTGGGCAAGAGTGCGTCCTCGGAGCGTGGATTCATAGTGAAATTGACCAAGCAATGTGACAGTGAATTGGCCTTACTTTACTCAGGGTTGCCACTGGGGGCCATCCCTTTGGATTGGGTGCCCTGCCTATTACATTTTTCTAGAAAAATTCAGGTTCAAAAGTAAAAGGCACCTTAAAGAAAGAGCAAGTCAGCAACTGTCCTCGGAACCTACTGAGGAAGGACTGACTGACTCCCACCCTTGGCTTTAGTGAGCCAAGAACCGGGAGTAGGTGCTAGGACTTACTTGTTCTGCACAGACCAGAAGAAGCTGTGTTTCCTTCCAGCAGGGATGCCTCCCAGAGGCATTTGTGGCAAGCACTTCCTCCATGTCACGCACTGGGCTCGACGCTGCCGAGGGTGCTGACCTGAGGCACACAGCCCCTGTCCTTAGACGCTTGCAGTCTAGTGGGAGAAAGAAGGAGTAAATAGGCCTCGGTGGCTAGGGTTGAGGGGGCATTGCATAGCAGCTCCATTATCTGTCCTCATCAGCAACCCTCCGCGTAGAATTCTAATAAAACACAGCACTTGTGCAAATGCTACCTAAGGCCAGTCTCTGGCCTTTTCTTCCAGTCAGACTGCAGCTCAGAGGGTCCCAGAGACACTCTGGAGTTGACGCTGCAAGGTAGAAGCAAAGAAGAGACAAACGAAATCTAATGTGATGGGATTTAGGAGACGGATGGGATTATTTCTAGTTGGAAGGACTAGGAAAGTCTTTATGGACGAGGTGTCACTTGAGATGATCACTGATGGCCCATCTGATGGATCTGATTGTAGTGCGTGCTTGATAGGGAAGGAGGGAGAGCATCCTAGGCAGGGGAGTCACTTGCATAGGGGCACAGAGGTGGCAAAAGTTGGGCAAATTCAATAGGGAGTGTTGAGTCTGGTTGGAATGTGTGCACTGGAGAGATGAGGGAGGACAGGGTGTTGTGATTCTTATGGTTATGGGTTCTTTCTAATTTGGTCTTGAGGTCTGTCAAGAGTGGCCATAAGCCAAGACAGCCACTCTAGGAGAGCCCTGATTGGGAAAAGTTAGGTTTGGGTGTGTGGTTCAGGTGAGACGCAATGAGGAGGTGAATGTAAAATGCATGAAATAGAAGAAATATGTTACTTACAGATCCAGGAGAGGTTAGCGGTGCCAACGGGAGGCTGAAGAGGAAGTCTAGAGATTGCAGGGAGCTCAAACAGCTGGGAGAGGAGGGAATGAGAGAGAGACAGACAGACAGACAGACAGACAGGGAGAGATAGAGAGAACCTGCTGGCTGTGCCTTTATTAAGTTCTATGGGCATTATCCCTTAGGCTTTCCTGAGGGGGTTGTGGATTGGCTAGTTTTAAAAAAATGTGTGAAGGGGGCAACTTATTAGCATGACTCTGGCGTTGGCCATTAGGTTTTATTGTGAGCAGCAGCTGTGGGAGGTGTTGTGTTCTGGATTAATGAGATGAGGAACACACTGGCCATGTCACACACAGCCACACGAGGAGGAAACGTTTCCTCTAGGCCAAAGGTGGCGGGGTATGGCTGGGTTTCCAACAGCGTATGTCAGCCCTAAAAATGGGTGCTTGAGGCAGCACGTAGATTAAACGAATGTATGACTCTTCCTCTCATGGTGCTGGTGCCTTACGTCATTTTAAAAAACAGAAGCCAGGTGTAGTGTGAGTGGTGGAGATATTGACTGCAAGGGGAATGTGATCATTTAACCAGTGAATTAAACATTAGTGTAGGGCGGTTATGTTGTTGGAGATTATGAACTGATAATTTAGTAAAGTATATGTAAAGATTAGTGGTATTGTGTGTAACCAAGAGGAATGGTGGCTGTGGGTTGGAGATGCAAGGCAGGGAGTTGTGGTAGAAGGCTGGAAGTGGTTAGTAGGAGAGGGCAGCCAGGTGGTCTTCTCCTCGGGAGGTCAGAGGGTTGACTGATATGAGGCAGGTGCCTCCTGGGAAAAGTAATCATCTCTTTTACTTTTCATAACCATTGCCAGATTTGCCTTTAAAAATGGAAGTATGGGGGTGTACATTTGAGCAGAGAGCAAAGAAAATACCAGGATTGTGGGCCAAGCACACAGGAGTTCAGGAAGAAAAGCAAAGATGCTCTGTGTCCATCGTGTGCCTTAGAAGAGGCAATCCATTGGCAAGCACTGCCGGGTGGAGGTTTCACTGTAAGAGGCGAAGTCATGTCTGGTACAGGACGTGAGGTCATCTCCAGCATCGACTGAAGTCTTGGGTTGGAGCAATGTTATCTGAGGCACTGTCATTTCCAGCAGTTGGATTTTGGGCTAGGGTGATGTTGTCTGGGATATGGGACTGTGGTCTCTTTTTTGAGTGGGTGTCCCCTGGAATGGATGCTGTAGACCTCCGGACTGTAAACCAGTGAAAGTATCCAAAGCAGTAGTAATAAGATCAGCAGTCAACAGACGTGGGCAGCTCTCCCTGGCAGGGCTTCTGTTTGGTTTGGTTTTGGTGGAAGTTTAATTTTAAGTGGGTTCTGTATCAGATGAGCAGCTGCCTGCCTGTTGGTCCACAGTTAATGAGTTCTAGGAGAGCATGTTCCCTCAATCTTATGGGATGGGGGTAAGATGGAAGATAGAAGATTTATAAAAAGTAGGTTAACGCCTGGGGCAAGATAGAGAATTTTAGTGATTTATGTGTTGGACTGGAATTGGAAAAGAGGTTATTTGAAAACATCACTGTGTCTTGGAGTTAAACTGGTTATCAGGGACCTGTCAGGGGCATGAAAGTTCTAGTGAATGCCTTTCTCAAGAGCCCAGCATCATGGTGTATTCTAAGAAGTAAAATGTGTTTTGGTTACTACCAGTGATGTCTGTAACTTTGAAGGGAATTAAAAGTGTTCTGGAAAGGCCTTATAGTGTGGCCTTAGAATGTGGGGAAATGTGTGATTTTGATGTCTTTTGGGTATCTGTGAGGCAACAATATCCCAGAGCTCTTTACCTTGAAGGGGACAATTTCTAGAGAATGACCTGATTGTTTCTAATCAATTTGACCATTTGTTGGCCAGGGCATCCAGGGCCAAGATGACTCCCTGAAGCTTGGCCAAGTCTGTTTCTTGGGTCCCATCCTTTATCAGGGACATCTTAGCTAAGGGATGGGAGGCGGTAACATTCCACCAAGTTCCACCACATAGGATGGTCAGCAGTGCCATCTGTACAGTCTACAAACTCCCATTACTGTTCACTCAGGGAATCTCATGAGCTTTCAGGTAGCCAAGGGCTCTGTAAAAGGGGTGAGCTCTTCCAACACTCTGGCATATGAAAAGGGGCTGAGAACAAGGAAGGCACCCCCTCCTGTAGGTGGAATATGCCAGGGGGCCCAGGTTTTGATCCATCCTGTCTTAGGGAGGCCATTATAGCTGTGCTGAGCTGGTGGGGGTACAGGTTCCATGACCCACAGCATAACAGGAAGTTGGGAATGCAGAGTCACAGGCTCAGGGACTGTGAGAGCCTCTGTTTGCAGGAGAACCCAGAGGGTAGCCAGCAGTTGGCTGTTTTAGTGGAATGTAGGACAAGGCCAAGAGGGGCAATTTTTGCTATCAGAAGTTGTGGGGCAACCAATGGCCATCATAAGTGGTCCGTAGACACCATGAGGCATGAGAAGAGGTTGCCAAAGCCTTTTATTTTTTATTTTATTATTATTATTTTTTGAGACAGAGTCTCACTCTGTCACCCAGGCTGGAGTGTAGTGGCGCAGTCTCAGCTCACTGCAACCTCTGCCTCCTGAGTTCAAGCGATTCTCCTGCCTCAGCTTCCCCAGTAGCTGGGATTACACGTGTCTGCCACCATGCCTGGCTAATTTTTTTTTTTTTTTGTATTTTTAGTAGAGATGGGGTTTCATCACGTTGGCCAGGCTGGTCTTGAACTCCTGACCTCAGGTGATCTGCCCACCTTGGCCTCCCAAAGTGCTGGGATTACAGGTGTGAGTCACCACATCCGGCCTACCTTTTATTTTTGAAGGTGCTAGTGAGATTGCCTGTTGATTTTAATTTATAAGTAAAATTTATAAATGAGGAATATGTTGCCACCAGAACCCTAAAAGTACTAAGAGATACTGGACTTACACGTCCTTACAAGTGTGTCAAATGAGCCTTCCTGAAGGAGGATCGCCTCAATGTAATGTCATGCCTGTGCTCCCAAGGAAGGTGGATGTCCTTAAGATCCTGTCTTCAGAGACTGTGTGTGATGACAAAGCCCTTGAGGTGCCCTGTGGGTAGACTGGAAAATGTGTGTTGTGCCCTTTTGGAGGTGGAGGCAAACTGCATCCGAGAGGCTGTTGAAATAGGCCCAAAACTGAACATGTTAGCCAAATGTATAAGAGCTCAATATTCACCAGTCATTGACTAGAATTAGTCATAGTATTGGGAATTGGGTATGGAGGCCGTAATGAATAGGAACATGGTGTAAAGGTTGTAGTAATCCACTATGAGGCACCCTTAATTTTTTCTACATTTAAGAACAGGCAAAAATGGCTGTCAAATGGAGGGACAGTGGAGATCATTACCCCTTTATTAATTAGGCTGTATATAGTAAGTTTGAATCCTTAAAGATCCTGATTTAACTTACATTAGGCCTTTGTGAATTGACCATGTTAACTGGAGGTTCATGGGATTTTATTTTATCAAGCCAATTTGTAAGTGCCAAAAACTTACTTTAATTTACAATTATTATTATTATTATTTTTTTGAGACAGGGTCTTACTCTGTCACCCAGGCTGGAGTGCAGTGGCATAATCATGGCTCACTGCAGCCTCAACTTCCTGGGCTCAAGTGATCCTCCCACCTCAGCCTAGGTAGCTGGGACTACAGGAACGCGCCACCGTGCCTGGCTAATTTTTGTATCTTTGGTAGGGATGGAGTTTTGCCATGTTGCCCAGACTGGTCTTGAAATCTTGGGCTCAAGCAATCCTCCCACCTTGGCCTCCCATAGTGCTGGGATTACACGCACGAGCCGTCATGCCGGCTTAATTTATTATTTATTGTATCAGAGCATCTGTGCTTAATATAGACTATATTACAGCAATGGGTGCATGACTATAGGAAATTTAGGCAAGGCTACAGTTAAAATGATGCATATTTATTTTTCTCTATTTTATATTTAGCTATTTTTTAAGATGGTAGAGGCACAGTGTTTAAATTTACTGAGATCTCCAGGTATAACTATGATTTGAGCCCCAGTATTGACTAAGCCCAGGAACTTTTGCCAATTGGTACATTTTAGCAAATGTTAAAGTCAAGTGAGAACCTGTGTTGTAGAAGCGCAAAAGCCAATCCATGCCCTTTGAAATATTTTTGTTAAATTATTTAGTATATAAATTTATATATACAATTTGAATTTCCAATTGGATCAATTGGATCAAATCATAGTAACTTTTTTTTTTTTTTTTTTTTTTGAGATGGAGTCTCGCTCTGTTACCCAGGCTGGAGTGCAGTGGCGTGATCTCGGCTCACTGCAACCTCTGCCTCCTGGGTAAATGCCATTCTCCTGCCTCAGCCTCCCAAGTAGCTGGGACTACAGGCGCCCACCACCACGCCCGGCTAATTTTTGTAATTTTAGTAGAGACGGGGTTTCAACGTGTTAGCCAGGATGGTCTTGATCTCCTGACCTCATGATCTGCCTGCCTCGGCCTCCCAAAGTGCTGGGATTATAGGCGTGAGCCACCTCGCCCGGCCCCCACTTTTTTTTTTTTTTTTTTGAGATGGAGTTTCGCTCTTGTTGCCCATGCTGGAGTGCAGTGGCACGATCTTGGCTCACCGCAACCTCTGCCTCCGGGGTTCAAGTGATTCTCCTGCCTCAGCCTCCTGAGTAGCTGGGATTACAGGCAGGTGCCACCATGCCCGGCTACTTTTGTATTTTTAGTAGAGTCAGTGTTTCTCCATGTTGATCAGGCTGGTCTTGAACTCCCGACCTCAGGTGATCCACCCGCCTCAGCCTCCCAAAGGGCTGGGATTACAGGCATGAGCCACCACGCCCGGCCTCATAGTAACTTGTTTTAATGTAGTTATATGTTATACATATACTATAGAATCTATTTATTATGTGTTCATATTAAAATATTATATATGTGTATATATAATTTATTTAATTACTTTTAACTCCCTTCTCCGTTGTATCTAGGGGAGTTTGTTTTTAAATCAATAAATGGTCTAGAGCTTTCATTATGTTTGCTAGACCTAGCATTGACTTGGTACATACATTTTTTTTTAAGTGGCAGCATTCCCACCCCCCTGCCTTTTGTTTTGTTTTGTTTTGTTTTAGGCTCAGGCCGCCAGAAGCTGAGAGTCTTTGTTTCTGCCTCTAGTTGATGAGAGGATGCAGAGGGCAGGGAGTAAGGGGCTGGTGCTTCTAGGCAGTGGCCTCTCTCTGGGATGCCCCCTTCCTGCATGATGATCAGTTTCTGCCTTGGTCTGTTTTGTGCTGCTATAACAGAAGATCTGAGACTGGTTAGTTTACAAAGAACAGAGATTTATTTCTTATAGTTCTGGAGGCTGGGCAGTCCAAGACTGAGGGCCTGCATCTGGTCAGGGCCTTCTTGCTGTGTCATAATATGGCAGAAGGCATCACATGGTGAGAGGGTGTGTGAGTGTGGGGAAGGAGGCTGAACTCCTTTTGTAGGGAACCCACCTCCACAATAACAAGTCCATTCCCACGACAATGGCATTAATTCATTTATGAGGGCAGAGCCCACAAGGCTCAATCATGTCTTTAAGGTCCCACCTCCCAGCACTGTTGCATTGGGGATTGAGTTTCCAACACATGAACTTTGGGGGACACATTCAAACCACAGCAGTCCCTTTCCTTTTTTTCATTAAGCAAAATCTTTAGAATGGCTTATATTTTTAGGCAGCTAAAAAAAAAATTTTTTTTTCCTTTGTTTTTAGATGTTGACCTGATGCGCTCCTGCTGGTCCTAACTGGCCCTCATGGTGAGCAGTGGCCTCCATTTGTGTTTCTCATCAGGATCATTTGTAGGCAGCCACCTCCCTCTTAGGGTGTCCCGGTTGACCTCATTAGGGTCAGGGGGCAATGAAGAGTGACAGAAGCAAGGGAACGAAGCAATATAGGGCTTGCAGACACCGGCAGAACTGCTGCCAGTGACTGCCATCACCTACATGAAGGGGGACACTTTGTTGTCAGTCTGGGAAGTCTTTGTTGTCAGTCTGGGAAGCCTAGTGACCTCTCTAGATACTGCCTCCCCATCTCAGTGGGTAGTCAGAGTGTGGGCCTCCCTTTTGCACCCTGCTAGGCCTTTGTGCTGGCCCAGTGTCCACCTGACAGCTCCAGGGCAGAGGTGACCCCCTTCTGCTTCTCAGTAACAAGCCATCAGGCCTTCTGAATATAGTCAATAGAACCCTCACCAGAACTTCCCACTCAGGGGAGTGTCCTATTAAGGCTGGCAGTTGAGCATGGGGTCCATTGGCAGAGGGGGGCATCCCAAGAACCACTTGGAATTTCTAGGACGCACCCAACTTAGGGAGGGGAGTCTTGGCAACACTCAACAAAGACCACAGGCTGCAGCATACAGCAGTGGGGACCCACACTAGTGAGCCCTGGGGCCTCCTCAGATGGGGTCAGCCACATGGCTAGTGAGCAGGAGCAGGCAAAAGGCATTCTGTCCTGCCCTTTGTGGTCATGGCCACACACCCTGCTCACAGTGCCAGTTGTTGTGATTTTTTTTTTTCTGAGACGGAGTCTCGCTCTGTTGCCAGGCTGAAGTGCAGTGGCGTGATCTCGGCTTACTGCAACCTCCGCCTCCCGGGTTCAAACGATTCTCCTGCCTCAGCCTCCCGAGTAGTGGGATTACTATGCGTGTGCCACGCCCAGCTAATTTTTGTAATTTTAGTAGAGACTGGGTTTCACCATGTTGGCCAGGATGGTCTCGATCTCCTGACCTCATGATCTGCCCGCCTCAGCCTCCCAAAGTGCTGGGATTATAGGCGTGAGCCCCCGGTCCCGGCATGTGATTTTTGTTGTAATGGTTTCTTTCTAATTTGGTCTATTTAGAGTGGCCAAAAGCCAAGATAGCCACTCTAGGAAAGCCCTGGCAGGGGAAAGTTGGGTGCAGGTGTATCATTCAGGTGAGACACAATGAGGAGGTGACACCCACATGCATGAAGCAGAAGAAAAACAGCTCCTGGAGAGGTTAGGGGTGCCCATGGGAGGCCCAGGGGAAGTCTGGAGGTGACAGGGAGCTCAACTAGCTGGTGAGGGGCAGGAGGAAAGAGAGAGGATCCATGGGACCAGGCCTTTATTTAGGTCCATGGGTGTTATTCCCTAGGCTTTCCCTATGGGGTTGTGGATTGGTGAGTTTAAAGAAAACGTGGCCGGGCATGGTGGCTCATGCCTGTAATCCCAGCACTTTGGGAGGCTGAGGTGAGTGGATCATGAGGTCAGGAGATCAAGACCATTCTGGCCAACATGGTGAAACCCTCTCTACTAAAAATACAAAAATTAGCTGGGCGTGGTGGTGCGTGCCTGTAGTCCCAGCTACTTGGGAGGCAGAGGCAGGAGAATTGCTTGAACCCGGAGGGCAGAGTTTGCAGTGAGCCGAGATTGAGCCACTGCACTCCAGCCTGGGCAACAAGAGCGAAACTCCATCTCAAAAAGAAAAAAGAAAACATGCTCTGAGGGGAGATCTTATTTACATGACTCTGGTATTGATCAATAGGTTTTATCCTGATCAGCAGCTGTGGGGGGAGCTGGGTTCTGTGTCAGTGAGATGAGGAGCAATAAGGCCATGTCGCACACAACCACATAGGGAGGGGAAGTTTTAACTCACCCAAAGGTGACGGGGTACAACTGAGTTTCCAACAATTTACATTGGGCCTAAAAGTGGGTGGCGAGGCAGCAACTGTATTAAACAAATTGATAACATAGGACCATCTTACGGAGCACCTTGGCTGCCGAGTGAGCAATAGGGAGCCACTGAAGGTTATGGAGCAGAGGAATAATGTAAGTGGAGCTGCACTTTAGGGAGGTCTAATGGAAAATGATTTAGAGAAACAGAAGGCAGAAGACTAGCTAGAAGATTCTACTCATCTTTTTTTTTTTTTTTTTTTTTTTTTTTTTTTTTTTTTTTTTTTGAGATGGGGTCTTTCTCTGTCACCTAGGCCAGAATGCAGTGGTGTGATCACGGCTTACTGTAGCCTTGACCTCCTAGGCTCAGGTGATCCTCCCACCTCAGCCTCCTGAGTAGCTGAGACTACAGGTGTGTGCCACTATGCCTGGCTAATCTTTCTAGAGATAGGGTTTTGCAGTGTTGCCCAGGCTGGTCTCAAACTCCTGAGCTCAAGCAATCCACCCATCTTGGCCTCCCAAAGTGCTGGATTACAGGCATAAGACCCCAAGCTTGGAAGATTCTACTAATCTTCCAATTCTATTAATCTCGGCTCACTGCAACCTCTGCCTCCCGGGTTCAAGCGATTCTCCTGCCTCAGCCTCCCAAGTAGCTGGGATTACAGGCACATGCCACCATACCTGGCTAATTTTTGTATTTTTAGTAGAGATGGGGTTTCTCCATGTTGGCCAGGCTGGTCTCAAACTCCTGACCTCAGATGATCCACTCACCTCGGCCTCCCAAAGGCTGGGATTACAGGCATGAGCAACTGTGCCTGGCCAGATTCTACTAATCTTGATACACTGTTATTGAGAGCATGAGAGGGTGCTAAGAGGACAGGGGAAGTACAGGGCTGCTGGAAGTCTCAAATGGTTTGCAGAAGCTGGGCGCGGTGGCTCACGCCTGTAATCCCAGCACTTTGGGAGGCTGAGGCAGGTGGATTATGAGGTCAGGAGATCGAGACCATCCTGGCTAACACGGTGAAACCCTGTCTCTATTAAAAATACAAACAACTAACTGGGCGTGATGGCAAGTGCCTGTGGTCCCAGCTACTCAGGAGGCTGAGGCAGGAGATTCGCTTGAACTCGGGAGGTGGAGGTTGCAGTGAGCCAAGATCACACCACTGCACTCTAGCCTGGGCGACAGAGCGAGATAACGTCTCAAAAAAAAAAAAAACGCTTTTCAGAAGTGGGAAATGGAAGAGTATCAGAGTGGCAGAGGTGGTAAGTGGCAATGGTAACATCACAAGGAAAAGCTTAAAAGGGTTTGGGGTGGATGATGATCAGACCAACCATGGGATTGGACCCACCATCATGGCTTCAGCATGAGAGGGAGCCGCAAAATTATACCCAGTCAATCACCTGATTTTCCATATTTGATAGTATGTGCATGCATTTCAGCCAAAAACCCAGTGCTTGGGCCCATGAAAAGAAAAGAAAACTTAGTTAATTCATTATGTTTCTCTTTAGCCTTTTCTCCCACAGGCCAGTCATTTGCTATGTCGTGGTAAGGACCATAATCAAGGCAAAAAAAAAAAAAAAAAGATTTTGTTGTTGTTGTTGTTATTCAGTAAACTATCAGCCACAGGAATAGAAAGCAAACACATTTTTCATGGTTGTTTCATGAATTTGGACGAGAGAAAAGGGTGACCAGAAAGCGGACTTTTCCGTGAGGCTTTGACTGTGTGATTTGCTGACTGGTTTATACATGAACATAGTTGCAGGGTTTGGGTAACCACAGTGGCAGGAGAACAGCTGGGATGTGGTCAGCGAGCACATCTCCCAGCCCCATAACAGCACCCACAGAAGCCTGTCCTTGACAACTGAGAGACCTTGGGGCCAGCCGGCTCACGTGCTCCCTTCATGGTGGCTTGGCAGGGAGGGCAAGGCTTACCAACTTCTTTATATCAAGGCTGGATCAGTTTGGAATTTGTTTTGCTATTATTGACTGCGCTCCTTCCCTGCAAACTCTTTCTATATATATCGTAGACTCTGTCTCAGTCCTCATGACCACTGTATGAGGTGGGTAGGAGTATTCCCATTTTCTAGGAAACTGAGGTTCCAAAAGCTAAGTGAATGGATGAACAAGTGGTAGGGTCAGGATTAGAATCCATGTCCACCTGAATCCAAAACCAGTGCATTTTCCACTAGGCATGTGGCTCATTTTCCTTACTGTCTCCTCACCTCTCCTGCTAGGCTTGATGGAGAAACACTATGGGGAGCAAGCTTGTACCCCACTTTCTGCAGCACTGCCAAAGCTAGTGGAGTATGAATGTGGTACTGTCACCTCCAGTCAATGCACCCACTGTCCATAGACAAGCTCTGCCGGTGCATTGTTCTTCTGGTGGGCTCTGCCCACCTTGTGAATCACCGGGAAGCTCAGGGAGACAGTGGATTTCCTAGAGCACTCAGATGAGATTCCAGGAAGTGACTATGTCATACCTGCTGCCAGGGATCTTAGGGTGGTCACCAAAGTTCGAGCCCTTTGGAAGAGATCTCACTGGCTGATATAAATAAATTCTCATAACTCATGCATGGAGGTCTTGTTGTTGAGTTTCCAACCAACAACAGGTTTTAAAGGTTCTCCTAAGAGAGTACCCAGGCATTGAGTCTATTCTACAGATTAGACAAATTCAGCCATGAATGTGGGAATGGGGATACTCAAGGATCTACCCAATGTCTGGAGGATTTGCTTGAGAAGCTCAATTATTTTTTAACAAAAGTGGCCACTAGTATTTTTAAATATGCAGATCATGTTGAGGTTATATATCAGTTAGGGTAAAGCTGGACTGCTACAACAAAGAGACCCAATAATAACCTGACTAAAGTTTATGTATTTCTCATATAACAGTCCAGTAATTTCAATTGCAACAGTCCAGGGTGAGCTTTTGAGACTGGTGGGAGATTCAGCTCCATGTGGTCATTCAGGGATTCATGTTCCTTATTAGTCATTGTTCCACAATAATCCACAATTATTGTGATCTGCATAATTTAAGCTGTGTTACTGCCAAGCCTGGGCTGTAGCCTGTAGGAAAGGTAAAGGGTGTGGAGGAAACAGGGCTCTTCTTGCATCCTTACTTCCTCTCCTGTTAAGTCATATGTGCCCATCTAGCTGAAAGGGAGGCTGGGAAATTAATGCACTTGGGCAGCCATTGTTTTACTGTTAGGAAACAAGGGAGCTTAGATTTTGTGGACAACTAGCAATATTTGGTAGACAACTAGAAGCTGGGTGCATCTCATTGATCTAGCATGGCATAGAAGAGGAAGTGCTGGCTCTGGACCCTGAAGACGTGGGTTCGAATCCTTGCTCTGTCATTTTAAACTGGATAAGCTGCCTCATCTCTCTGACCATGGCTTGCTTCAACTGCTGTGCCTTCCTTAAATAGCAATTGGGAGGATTGTAACACAACAGGTGCTTGATACCTTAGTCATGGTTGCAAGAAATGAAAACCAGCTTGAGTTAGCTTGAGAAAAGGGAGATTTAATTTGAGGTCCAGGTCATCTCAGAGAACCCAAAGGCAGGAATTATAGATGGATCTTTGTAGGGAAGAACTGGAATTTGAAGGCAAAAGGAGGAAAGAGGAGGGAATTTGAGGAGCCCTCAATCCATTAGCAAAAACAGCTGGTACTAACTCCAAATTAAATCCTGACTGCATCTGTTTCTCTCCTGTACCTCCTTCCCTGGTCCAGGTGACCTTTGAGCCTTCTCTGGACTGATGACTGACCGTTCCCTCTGCCTTCATTCTTATGCTCTCAAATCCATCCTTTCACACAAGAGCAAGAGTGAAATTTAGAAACATTAATGAGATATGTCTCCTGTTTGAGACCTGTAGTGTCTTCCTGCAGCAATGCAGAATAAAACCCCAGCTCCTTACCCTGGTTTACCAAGCCCCATGCAATGTGACCTCCCCTCCCTGACTGCATCTGCCACTCTTCCCCTCTTCCACTTTGCTTTAGCCACGTGGTCCAGCTGTATATAAACATATCATTTAAATCTTTCTCCTGCCTCAGGACCTTGGACGACTATTTTCCCTTCCTGGAGAAATCTCGACACTTTGTGCTTTTAGTAATCCACACTTCAGTATAAAATCTTAGAGTGACCTCTATCACGTCAGCCTACTTTAATTCTCTACACAGCCATTAACACAATTTTATAGTTTTCTCACTAATATACTTATTTGTTGTTACCCAATTCCCAGACCCCATCGCCCCAATAAATGCAATCTTTATAAAAGCAGGGAACTGCCTATCTTGATCTCTGATGTATCCTGTTTGCTTAGGAATACTTTTTGAATGAACGGAGTTAATTTAAAAAAATATATGTAACTTTACTGCTTGTAACCCTTTCAAAATTTAACTCTGTATTTTGAACTTCTTTCCACTTCAACGAATACACAATTACTATATGCTCACAGTATTCCATTACTTAGATACCATAACCAATGTAAACAACTTCCTGCTGTTGAATATTTAGTGAATATCCTTATATAGAGACGTCTTTGCACATTCTTCATTATTTCCTAGAATACATTTATACATGTGAAATAATTGATTTAAAGGATAGTCTACTTCTAAGATTTGATATATAAAGCAAAACTGACTTCTAGGGAAACTGCGATTGTTTTTATGTCCTCTGACGGGGCATGAGAGTGCCAGGTTCCCCAGGCCCTCGGAGAAGGACTATTATCATTTTTTATTTTGCCAATCGGATGCACTAAAAATGTCATCTTGTTGTATCAATTCATGTTTTAAAAAATTACCAATGGTGTTGAACATTTTTCTTCTACTTATTGTATTTAATTCTTTTGTTCCTCTCCTTGACTCTTTTTTTAAAATAAGCGCATCATCTTCGCGCGTTATTCTTGGTTATGGGTTTCCTCTTTCATCCTCAGAGACTCACATTTAGGTGGGAGAACATTTGCAAGAATGAGGGAAATTGATTCTTGCCATGCACTCTAAGCTCCCAAGAGGCCCTCTCCTTCCTCACCATTAGAATACAAATTGGCTGCTGGGGAGTGAGGAACCTGTGTGAAGAGAAGTCAACAGTGACTAAGAGGCCGGGCTTTATACAATCCCAGTCACTGGTGCACCCCTCTCAAAGGCTTCCAAACCCTTACAAATTGCTTCTGAATATCAATGGGAATCTCCTGCTTGGCAAACAACTTAGGCATCAGCACCTTTATCAGAATGAAAGTGTTGATTTCTCCATTCTGCAGAACTGCTCAGAGCTGACCAAAGCCAACCAATTACATGGGTATTTATTGAGCACCCAAAGCATTGTAGACTAGTTGGGGAGATGCCTTCCTGGGTCTTTGAAGGACATCTGGAGTGATTTAGGCCTCATCATAAGATATAAGCAAAAGCATTTCCTTCTACAGTTAACACTGGAGCAGGCCACATCACAGGGCCAGCCAAGCTTTGGGCCAAACCTCTATCATCACCAAGATAGAATCAACAGCTTCGGACTTAGACTGAGTATGGAAATCCATATTTAGGAGGTGGTTAACAATGGTCAAATAGCGAAAACAATATTTTTGTTGTTAGTCTTTAATTTTTCTGCTCTTGTTTTTCAGGAAGGTGTGACTTGCAGAGGAGTTGATTCCTTCTTATGTACATTTACTGGAGAAGTTTACAGCAGGAGACTGGGGTCTGAGACACACGCATCTTTGGTGAGAGAAGATGGGGATGCAAGCTAGGTCCCCGTATACGGCTATGGGAGGGGACTGGTACCCCCACTCCAGTGCTCTTAAACAGTGATCGGCTTTCCAGGAAGCTCTACATTGTCAATGAAAGGGCTGTTCTTTACACTTTACTCTGAGGGTTTTTTTTTGTGTGTGCATACGTACACAAGCATGCATAGTCACGAGCAAGCACGACTGTGTGCATGAGTTCAAGTATTCTTTCTGAAAAGAAATGATGAGGCCGGGCGCGGTGGCTCACACCTGTAATCCCAGCACTTTGGGAGGCTGAGGCGTGCGGATCACGAGGTCAGGAGATCCAGAGCATCCTGGCTAACAGGTGAAACCCCATCTCTACTAAAAATACAAAAAATTATCTGGGCGTGGTGGTGGGTGCCTGTAGTCCCAGCTACTCGGGAGGCTGAGGCAGGAGAATGGCATGAACCCAGGAGGCAGAGCTTGCAGTGAGCGGAGATCGTGCCACTGCACTCCAGCCTGGGCGACAGAGCGAGACTCCGTCTCAAAAAAGAAAAAAGAAAGAAAGAAAGAAAGAAAGAAATGATGGTGATAGTAGAAAGTTGTTGTTGTAAAAATATCCTTTTTTTTTTTTTTTTTTTTTTTTGGAGAAAGAGTCTCACACTGTGTCACCCAGGCTGGAATGCGGTGGCACAATCTTGGCTCACCTCAACCTTTGCCTCCCAGATACAAGCGATTCTTCTTCCTCAGCCTCCCAAGTAGCTGGGATTACAGGCACCCACCACCACGCCTAGCTAATTTTTTTGTATGTTTAGAAGAGACAGGGTTTCACCACGTTGGCCAGGCTGGTCTCAAACTCCTGATTTCAAGTGATCTCCCCATCACAGCCTCCCAAAGTGCTGGGATTTCAGGCGTGAGCCACTGTGTCCAGCTAAAAATATCCTTTCCTGGTAAAGTAAAAAGCTTCCAAATGCATGTTTGTCTTTCCAGTTTTTTCCCTGTTATCTGTGAAATCATCCGATCATTAGATCTACTGCTTTTCATGTAACTGTGATGTCCTGTTTTAATGGAAAATTGACTTTTGCAGTGTGCCCCAAAGAATAAAGCCCTCAAAGGATGTGAAGCCTGAACTCACTTCAAATGCTGGAAAGGCCCTTTCCTTAGCTGAGCTGTGGAGGAACCAGGACTCCTGTGGCACTGCCCTAACGAGGAGGCAGTGCTGCCAGATTCAGGTGGGTGTCCCCTCGGGTGGGGCTGGCTGGACTGTGGACAGGAGGCACCATTCAGCCCACAGGAGAAGCTGCCTTGGTGCAGGGGAGGGTCCTGTGATCCAGGGGCCTGAGCAGGTTTGGAGGGAAAGCTGAAGAGGAAAAGTAAGGATGTAAACAAATTAAAAAGCAAAAAACAACCCCATTAAAAAGGAGGCAAAGGACATGAACAGACACTTCTCAGAAGACATCCAGGTAGCCAACAAACATATGAAAAAATGCTCATCTCTAATCTTCAGAGAAATGCAAATCAAAACCACAATGAGATACCATCTTATGCCAGTCTGATTGGCTTTTGCTAAAAAGCCAAAAAATAACAGATGTTGTCAAGGCTGTGGAGAGAACGGGACATTGATACACTGTTGGTGGGAGTGTAAATGAGTGTAGCCTT